>NT_187620.1:0-233762 GCF_000001405.40 Homo sapiens
GAATTCCAGCCTCGGTGACAGAGTGAGACCCTGTCTCCAAAAAAAGTATGGTTTAGTGATATCAATTATATTTATACTGTTGTGCAACCATCACCGCTATCCATTTCCAGAACTTTTTCAACTCACCATGCTAAACCTCTGCACTCAATAAACAGTAACTCTCCACTCCTTCTAACCCTAGTCCCTGGTAGCCATCATTCTACTTTCTGTCTGTCTGTAATTGACTATTTTATTAATAAGTACCTCACATCAATAGACTCATACAAAATTTGTCCTTTTGTGTCTGGCCACATTTCACTTAGCATAACGTCTTTAAGGTTCATTCACGTTGTAGTATGTATCAGAATTTGAGTCTCATGAGTGTGTAAATGCTCGGCATTTTATTTTATTTTATTACCTGTTAAGACTGAATGAGTTTCCATTGTGTGGATATATTTCATTTTGCCTCTTGACTTATCGTTCGGTGGACTTTTGAGCTGTTTCCACATTTTGGCTATTGTGAGTAATGCTACTATCAACATGGGTGTATAAATATCTTTTCAAAGCCCTACTCTCCATTATTTTGGGCATATGACCAGAAGTGGAATTGCTGCATCAAATGGTAATGCTTTGCTTAATTTTTTTGAGAAACGGCTCTACCATTTTCCACTGTGGCTGCACCATTTCACACTCCCACCGGCAATGCACGAGAGTTTCAATTTTCCCACCTCCTCAAAATACATGTTTTGTGTTTTCTTTTTTTTCTTTAAATCAAAGCCATCCTAACATGTGTGTGGTGGTGTATCACTGTGGTTCTGATTTGCATATCTCTAAGTATTAGTGATGTTTAGCATCTTTGCATGTGCTTATTGGCCATTTGCATATCTTCCTTGGAGAAATCTCTGTTTTAGTCCTTTGCCCATTTTTAAATTGGGTTTCTGGGTTTTTGCTGTTGAGTTATATTAGTTCTTTATATATTCTGAGAATTAATCCCTTATCAGATATATGATTTGCAAATATTTTCTCCCATTCCATGGGTTGCCTTTTCACTTTCTGGATAATGTCCTTTGATGTAGAGAAGATCTTATTTTTTATGAAGTCAAATTTGTCTGTTTTTTTTTTGTTGCCTGTGCTTTGGGTGTCATAGCCAAGAAATCATTGTGAAATCCAATGTCATGAAGCTCTCCCCCTATGTTTTCTTCTAAGAGTTTTATAGGTTTATCTCTTAGATTTAGGTCTTTGATCCATTTTGGGTTAATTTTTATATGGTGTTAATTTTTATATGGTGTTAAGTAAAGATTCAACTCATCCTTCTTCATGGATATCCAGCTGTCCCAATATCATTTGTTGAAAAGACCATCCTTTCCCTATTGAATGGTCTTGGTACCCTTGTCAAAAATAATTTGACTATAAACGCAAGCATTTGTTTCTGGGCTCTCCATTCTATTCCATTGGTTTCTATGTATTCCTTTATGCCAGTACCACACTGTGTTGATTACTGTGGCTTTGTAGTAAATTCTGAAATCAGGAAGTGTGAGTCCTCCATCTTCATTCTTTCATATTGTTTGGCTATTTAGAGTCCTGAGACTCTATATGAATTTTAGGATTTTTCTATTTCTGCAAAATATGCCACTGGGATTCTGGTAGGGATTGCATTAATATTATCATCTTAATGATATTAGGTCTTCCAATCTATGAAAATGGAATTTCTTTCCATTTATTAATATATTCTTTAATTTCTTTCAGCTGCATTTTATAATTTTCAGCTTACAATTTTTTCACCTCCTTGGTTAAGTATATTCCTAAGAACTTTATTCTTTTTGATGATAATGTGAATCAATTTTTTTCTTAATTTCTTTTCAGATTGTTCATTGTAAGTGCATAGGAATACAACTGTTTTTTGGCTGGATGCAACGGCTTACACATGTAATCCCAGCACTTTGGGAGGCTGAGGTGGTCAGATCATTTGGGGTCACAAGTTCGAGACCAGCCTGACCAATATGGTGAAACCCTGTCTCTACTAAAAAAAAAAAAAAAAAAAAAAAAAAAAAAATTAGCCAGGTGTGGTGGCACACGCCTGTAATTTCAACTACTTGGGAGGCTGAGGCAGGAGAATCATTTGAACTGGGGAGGCAGAGGTTGCAGTGAGCCGAGATCATGCTACTGCACTTCAGCTTGGGCAATAAAATGAGACTCTGTCTCAAAAAAAAAAAAAAAAAAGAGAGAGAGAGAGAAAGAGACAGAGAAAAAAGAAAAAAGAAATACAGCTGATTTCAACTGATTTTTGCATGTTGATTTAGTATCTTGCAGTTATACTGAATCTGTTTATTAGTTCTAAAATTTTGTTTTAATCTCTAGGGTTTTCTACATGTAAGTTCCTGTCATCTGCAAAGTTAATTTTACTTCTTTCTGATTTGGATGTTATTTTCTTTCTTCTTGCCTACTTTCTCTTACTAGAACTTTCAATACTACATAGAATAGAAGTGGTAAAACTAGGCATTCTTGTCTTGTTTTTATCTTAGAGGGAAAGCTTTCAGTCTTTCTCCCTGGAGTATGATGTTAGCGTTGGGCTTTTCAGATAATGCCTTTATTATATTTGAGGTAGTTTCCTTCTATTTATAATCTGAGTGTGTTTACTATGATAGAATGTTGAATTTTGACAAATGTTTTATTGGTTCAGTCTCCCTAGTAGTTATTAGTCTATTCAGATTTTCTGTTTCTTCATGGTTCCATTTGGAAGGTTTTATGTTTCTGGGAATTTATTTCATCCAGGTTCTCTAACTTGTTGGCATATAATTATTCATAATACTCATAACACTTACTATTTCTGTAAAATTGGTAGTAATCACTTTCATTTCTGATTTGAGTAATTTCTATCTTCTCATTTTTTTTCTTAGTCGATCTAATTAAAGGTTTTGAATTTTGTTGAACTTTTTTGAAGAACCACCTTTTGGTTTCATTGCTTTTCTCTATTGTTTTTCTAGTCCACTCTAATCTTTATTATTTCCTTCATTGGCTAACTTTGGGTTTCATTTGTTTTTCTCCTATATCCTTAAGTTGTAAAGCCAGGTTGTTGATTTCAGATCTTTCTTCTTTTTAAATGTATGTATTTATAGTTATACATTTCTTGCACAAGATTCTTAACTTCTCTGAGCCTTAGTTTCCACAACTGAAAATTGCAATAAGAGTGCCTGTTTCACAGTATTGTTTTGAAGATTTAATGTAATAATCAATGAAACATTCAGCAAAATGCCACATGCAGAGGAACTGTTTCATAAATGTTAGCTGCTGTTAAAGCTACCATTATTATTAGCCTTGAAGTCAGGTAGTCTTAGAGGCAAATCCTAGATCCGCCTGTCACTAGCTGTATGACATTGGGTAAGTTTTTTCACCACTCTAAGCCACCTCTATTTTCTACCTGACAGTATTATTTTACAGCTCAAATGAGATACATGTAAATAATTTAACACAGGGCCTGACACATAGGAAGCACCCCTCAACAGTAGCTAATATTAGTGATTATTAATCATCAGTCTGAGTTGACTGATGACTGATGAGAAATTAAGCCCAAATTATTGCAACAGAAATAAAGAAGAAACAGATGCAGAAGGTATTATATATACATGTGCATATATATATTCACATATATACACACATATACATATACATATACATATACATATACATATACATATACATATACATATACATGGGAGAAACAGGCATTACACAAAAAGTCCACTGGGACATGGTTACTGATTAATATGGGAGAGGGAAAAGAACAGAGTTAAATATGAAGTCTCAAGCCTAGTATGTTAGTTTTCATTCAGAGAGATGCAGTCAAGATGGGATTAGACATGCAATATAATTTTGAGGGAAAAACACCTGTGAGGGAAAGTGGGCTGGGAGGGGGAGGAGCCTGGGAGAGCCCTCAGATCATGATGCAGATGTGATGCCTGTGGAGGAGAAAGAGAAAAAAAAGAAAGTTTTAGATTGCAGTGCAGTTCGAAGAGAGTTTCTGCAAGACTGTTGGGAATTCCTCAAGCCCATCACCTTTCAGAGCAAAATAGTCTTGCAGAACTTGACTTGCTTTCACACACCTGCTGGGAGCCCATGGGAAGTGAGGTCTCTGTGCAAAGGAGGTGGTGAATTCAAAATGCACTAACTGCCACAACTGAGACACTAAGAAAAAAAATGCAACCATGAAAAAGTGGGAAGTTTTAATGACATACAAGATTAGCAATCAGTCTTTCTCAAATTTCAAAGCCTTCAAAAATATCTGAGTGTAAAAAGGTCAGGATGGAATTGACAGAAGACTGACCATCAACCTGGAAACCTGGTGAGATAAAAAACCTGCAAGAATTTAGTTGGATAATCATCTCCCAGCAACCTTCCCACAAAAATAATGTATTCCTTGAAGGAACAAATAGAAACGACTTCATGCTGAGAGTTGGTTCCTGGGGGACTTCCCTGTAAAATAAGATCAACTTCATTCCTTCTCTTTTCTTTCCATGGCAGATGAGTCAGTACAAGCAAGTTCACCTGACCTCTCAGCTGGGACCGCTGTCAGCATCATGATTGGAGTACTGGCTGGGATGGCTCTGATATAGCAGCCTTGGTGTAGTTTCTGCATTTCGGGAAGAGTGGTAGGTATTATGACCTTTCCTCTTATCCTATTTCCTGCAGGGCTGACTGCCATGCTTGGGAGAGGGAAAGGACTTCTTCACCTGTATCTGGGACTAGATCTCCTCCTCCTCCCACTAAACTCCTGCTTCTAAGCACTAATTCCTGCAGGTCTCTTCTTCCCTGGTCTTCATGCTTCCTGTACTCCACTGTCTCTTAGACATGACTACTCCCAGCCTCTGCTCATTTGTTTCCCCAATTCAATACATTGTGAAAGCTTCTTGGTCCTTTTTAAAACATCTTTCACTTGTGCTGTTCTCTCCATTCCCATAAACCTCAACAACTGCTTGAAGTCCTGCTTGACTTCTTTTCTCTAGTCTGAATGCTTCCTAGCATATGACTACTTCATTACCTTCCTAAAATCACCTACTGAAGAACCTGCAGCGGCCTACTCTAGCCCATTAGATAAGTTCACATTTCTTCTCTTCATGAATCCTTTTTACTTCCTTTACCACTACTCCTGAGTATAATTTCTCCATCCTAATTAGATCTGTCTTCCTATACATCCTGCCCTTCCACCCCATGTACACATAGAATTCTTAGTTCCAATGTTATATCTAAAAACAAGGTAACCTTCCTCCACCACCTGCATTGTGGAGTTACCCACACCCTTCATCACAAGCAACCTCTGTCCTTGTGGAGGACAAAGACGGTAGCATTAGTATGTGAACCTGAGACTCAGGACACAACCTAAACGTGGCTGAGAATCTTTTCCTGATAACCAATTCATGTGTTCATGAAAGATACAGAAATGAAGAAGGCAAGGTCCCTACTCCAGGGAACATAAAGCCTAAGACAGACGATAAGACAAAGGGCCAGGTGCATTGGCTCACAACTGTCATCCCAGTGCTTTGGGAAGCTGAGGTGGGAGGATCCTCTGAGCCCAAGAGTTCAAGGTTGGAGTGAGCTATGATTGTGCCTCTGCACTCCAACTTGGGCCACAGAGCAAGACCCTGTCTCCAAAAAATAAGACATGAAAAATAATTGTAATACCAAAATAGAAAAAGATAAATTCCACAAGAAGAAAGAGAAATCTAATGGGAAATATGGCTACACACTGGAATCACTGGAAAATTTTTAAAAGAACAACTGATTTCCAGGCTCTGCTCATACATTTTGATTTAATGGTCTAGAGTGGGACCAAGGCGTTATTATTTAAGCCTTCCCACATGCTACTAATGTGCAAGCAGGATGCAGAACCCCTGCTCTGATAAGCAGGACTTGGGCTTAAATCAATGGTTTGTAGCTAGGGGTATGTATCAAAATTACCTGGGGAACTTTTTCAACATACATAAGCTTATACATTGTTGGCCATATTTGTTAATGTACTATGCCCTGAACTCAGTAATCCAGTTGAGAAACAGAAGCGAGATGGAAATTCACCTTAATTGATATGTTAAATTATATGGAAAACACTGTCAAATGACAAGTGATGCCAAACCTTCTCTAAGTTATATTTGCGGGTATGTTATTGATGTGAATGTTTCAAAAATTATATGAGATTTCTAGAAATCTAATATTTTGTCAGTCATAGTGTTACATGCCACAGAAATAACCAAATTTGTTTGTGAGTGGTGTCATTATCATCAAATCTATCAAATCTGAAGTCTTATCAGATTTTTAACCATTGCCATCTTAAGTCTTTGTCATTCACAGACAGTTGTTTTGATTCTTCTCTAAAAGCACTTGGAAATGGTTACAGTCCAAAACTGCTTGTTTTCCAAGGAGATTTATGGCTAAGACTCTGACAAGTTGTCTTGAATACAAGTTTCTGATAACTTTAGAATCATACCATTGGGCTAAGAATTTCCAAAACTTTAATGAAGAGATATCTTCATGAAACTGCCAATCAAGATCAGGCAGAACAAAAAATTAATTTCATGGGACTAGATGAACTAATGAGGATAATGTTTTTATGAATTTTT
Source organism: Homo sapiens (assembly GCF_000001405.40). NCBI lineage: Eukaryota > Metazoa > Chordata > Mammalia > Primates > Hominidae > Homo > Homo sapiens. Next base: position 6,588 of record NT_187620.1, read on the forward strand.
AGTTGAAGTTTTGATGATTCTTTAAATGTTTTGTTTTCCAAATTTGAAGGAATATTTTTCTTTTAAGCTATCTATAGCTTACAGAAACTTGGTAAAATACAACTTGTGAACAAAAATTGAAACATTAATTTTTCTCCCTACATTTTCCATCCAGAATCAGGCAACTATTCATGGGTGTTCACATTGTTATGAAAATAGTTATTTGCATAAGTTCAATAAGAATCTGTTCTGTTTATAACAGGATACATTTAAAAATACTGGTTATATTACCAAGGCTTTGGCTGGGATGTCATATTTGGAAATATACATAGAATGAACCCGTAGGTACTGAGGTACTGCAGGCAAAGTCTGAAGTCAGCCTTGGTTTGGCTTCCTAGTGCTGAGAGGTTTCTAAAAGTTTAATCTGAGATTCCTTATCAAACCTTCCAGCAAAGCAATCTTAAAAAGATGCTATGTGGTCAATCGCTATTCTTGCTATACTTCTTATATAAAGAATCAGACCAAGTTTGATGAGACTCTACCTATTTTGTAAACAGATTAGTCTTACTCTGATTAACTTTGGTAGAAACAGGGAGAGATAGAGAAAAATTATGTTCAGAGGAAAGACTATAATACAACTGTTATCAAATTGTAGCCCTGTATTTTGTTTTCAAGTTTTTATTATCCACCTGCAGACTGGACTGGATTCTTCTAGCTCCTTCAATCCCATTTTCTCCTGTGGCATCACTAAGTATAAGACCTGCTCTCTTCCTGAAGACCTATAAGCTGGAGGTGGACAACTCAATGTAAATTTCAAGGAAAAACCCTCATGCCTGAGATGTGGGCCACTCAGAGCTAACCAAAATGTTCAACACCATAACTAGAGACACTCAAATTGCCAACCAGGACAAGAAGTTGATGACTTCATGCTGTGGACAGTTTTTCCCAAGATGTCCCAAGCCTCATCGTGACGAGGCTCTTATCCCACTCCATTTTTCCCTGCTCATGCCTGCCTCTTTAATTTGGTAAGATAATGCTGTAACTAGAATTTCACAATCAGCGCCTTGTGCAGGTAATTTGACAGAGTGTTGGATGTGTCATGTCATCATGTCAAACCCAAATATTTGACCTAAGGGATCCTTTATTCTGCCCAGTGGCTAACTTTAACAACATCCCTAATACAACTGTTTATTCAAATGCACGGTGGTCCCTGTTAGAGTTAGACCTCTAGACTCACCTGTTCTCACGCCCTGTTTTAATTTAACCCAGCTATGGGATGCCAGATAACAGAATTGCTGCCTACTAGCTGAACAGGGAGGAGTTTGTGCAGTTGCTGACACTTCTTGTTGCACATAAATAAATACAGTGGGTACTATAGAGACTCAGTTGCAAAAATTAACAAATATGCTGCTTGATTAAAATGGGTAGGCTTCTCATGTGGCTCATTCTTTAATCTATTCTCTTTTATTTGGTTTGGTTCATGGGGTCTCTGCCTATGGATCATACTTCAAACTCTTGGTGTGATCCTCCTGATTGTCACAATATTAGTTACCCTGGTGTGCTGTATTCTCTAAAACCTTTAAATGTTTGCATGCAGCCATTCGTCAAATGTCAAATATTCTCTCTTTGGCTGGAATGACAAAAACTCAAATAAATGTATGATTAGGAGGACATCATAACCTATGAATGATGGAAGTCCAAAATGATGGTAACTGACAGTAGTGTTAATGCCTTATGTTTAGTCAAACTCTCATTTAGGTGACAGCCTGGTGACTCCAGAATGGAGCCAGTCATGCTAAATGCCATATACTCACACTGAAACATGAGGAAGCAGGTAGATCCCAGAACAGACAAAATTTTCCTAAAAACATGAGAGTCCAGGCTGTCTGAGTCAGCACAGTAAGAAAGTCCTTTCTGCTTTAACTCTTAGAAAAAAGTAATATGAAGTATTCTGAAATTAACCAATCAGTTTATTTAAATCAATTTATTTATATTCTTCTGTTCCTGGATTCCCATTTTACAAAACCCACTGTTCTACTGTTGTATTGCCCAGTAGGAGCTATCACTATATTTTGCAGAATGGAAACTGCCCTGACTCATGAATCACAAATAAAAGCCAATTGTATCTATAACTGAATTTGTTATAATTTTGTCTTTTGATGCATGTTTACAGCCAGCGATGGCCAGTGGAGTCTCTCTGGCTGCATCATTCTCACCCTGACCCTTCCGCCTCTCTCTTTCACTTACAAGGACCCTTCTGACTACACTGAGCCCACCCAAATTATCCAGAATAACCTCGCATCTCAAGAAACTTAACTTCATCTCACCTGCAAAGTCTTTTCTTTTGCCAAATAAAGTAGCATGCACAGGTTCCAGGGATTAGGATGTGGACATTTTTAGGAGGCCATTATTCTGCCTAATACAGGTAACTTCTGTAAACTTTACCCACAACAAAAATTGCTTTGCCTTCCTTCTGTGTCTCACTTTTCTGTCTGAATCACAAAGAGCACAAACTTCGAGGTGAAACACACTAGCTCTGCTATGAACTGGCTGGATGACTCTGGACCACTCACTTCACCCACTTCAGCCTCTTCTCATCTGCAGCACAAGAGTCACTCTTACTGCATCAGAAAATGACAGTTTGAATGGGTACGTTAATATGTGGAAGGCATTAGACATAAAGCCTGGTACCTGATGAGCCCTTAGTAAACCTTTCTTTCAGTCTTTTCCTTTTGCCATCTCACATTCTCTCACCCTCACCTATCTTCTCCTTCATCTCCTTTCTCTTCAGTAACATACTCAGTTTAACCTACTATTTAGCAAAGAAGCCACACAACCCATTCTCTCATGACTCTGCTGGAATGTTTTGGTCCTGCAGTCTGCTCTCCACTCAAGGCAGTGTATATTATTTTTATTTTTACACAGAAGTCTGTTTAAAACAGGAAGTCTTTTTCTTTTTTTTTTTTCTTTTTGAGACGGAGTCTCGCTCTGTCGCCCAGGCTGGAGTGCAGTGGCACGATTTCCGCTCACTGCAAGCTCCGCCTCCCGGGTTCACGCCATTCTCCTGCCTCAGCCTCCTGAGTAGCTGGGACTACAGGCGCCCACCACCACGCCCGGCTAATTTTTTGTATTTTTAGTAGAGACGGGGTTTCACCGTGTTAGCCAGGATGGTCTTGATTTCCTGACCTCGTGATCCGCCTGTCTCTGCCTCCCAAAGTGTTGGGATTACAGGCGTGAGCCACCACGCCGGCCAACAAGAAGTCCTTTTTATGTTCACATAAAATATATACATGCTTTCCCTTAATTTACACATACTAGTCCCATTTCTGTCCTGTTAATTCATACATGTGCTTCCTTATGTCACTCTTCTTCGGTCTTTCTCTTTTCAATTTATAAATAAGGATAGTACAGAGGCAAAAAATACTGACCCAGACCATAAGATGGGATTTCTTCATTAAGATGAATGCTTTCCTTTAAAAAGATGAATGCTTTCCATTGGCAACATAAATGCTATTCACAAGGTGCCCCTGAAGCCCATTTCTAGGCTTGGCTTTCAGCAAAACCATTCGATCTTAGGACACATTCCTAGACTCCTAGGAGACAATATTTGTGACAGAAGCCACACCCACTCTGGCTGTTCCTGCTGTCGGGTAAAGGTATTTTTCACAGAATGTTGTACGTCATGAATATTGCTCAAGATTCCAAATCCAGAAACATATGAAGAGGGCGAGTCCCTGGAATGGTCACAAAGGGGAGAAGATTTCAAAGCCAGTAACAGTCATAAAGCACACCCACAGTGTGTGGCCTTTGAGCAATGACAGTCCCCCTGGCCTCTTTCCATGCCTGTTGGCTTCTGAATTCCTTCTCAGGACTGCTCCTCAATCCTTCCACTGTGGAGTTTAAGCCCCCTTAACCATCTTCATCTCCAGCTGCCTGCGAGGACCCTGACTGGAAGGCACCTCCTCACTCTGAATGCTCCTGATGGCACCTTTGCCTATTTCCATAACTATAATAGCTCACACTGACGCAGCACTCACTACTCACCAGGCACTATCCTAAGGGGTTTTCAGGTAGCTACAGTCCTCATAAAAAATCCTGAGTGTCAGCATCCCCATTTTTACAGATTTAAAAAACTGAGGCAGAGAAGTGAAGTCAGGTAATGAGTGTCATCCAACTCCGTAATTTAACCCCATCCTCCACTTTATTTGTGCAGAGGACACTCTAGGTCTTCCAAGGTCTCCTGAATGACATCCACCTTCCAGAATAATTTTTGCTCCCTCTACTTTCAGGATTTGATGAACAGCCAGCATCTTTTTTTTCTGTCTCACTCTTCACTTTTGCACCTGTTCCCTAACACCACACTCACACCTGCACAGCCCTGCATTAAAGCTGGCTTTTATGAACCTCCAGTCTCTTCTGGGAAAAAGCAGGGTGGGCCTGGCTCTCAGTCCTCACAACAAGTAACTTTCACTGAATTGTCATCTAGTCATACAGCCAGTCTCTGGCCATAAAAAGGGTGCACTGGGGACAGAAAGTGCAATGAGAAGGAAATAGGAGGAGGGTGAGTCCCTGGAATGATCACAAAGGGGAGAATATTCCAAAATCCAGAAACAGTCATAAAACACACCCAGAGTGGGTGACTTTGAGCAATGACAGCCTCATCTCTCTCTTTTCATGCTTGGTGGCCTCTGACTTTCCTCTCAGCTGCCCGTCCTGGTCTTGCTTTCTTAGACCAATACTAATGGCCTGGCAGCTGGGGCCAGACCAGAGCACACAGTAGTGAGGGTCAGGGAGCTGAAAAGGGGGAAGAGTGTCTGACTTATGGAGATCTGACTCTTCACCTATGCACACATCACCTGGGCAGGGAATGGATTAGTGAGGTGCTGTGCAGGACTCACGGTTTAAGGGATTGTACTAAGGAGTTGTACTTCTTTGATCCTGCCTGACTGAGAGCAAACTCTCAGAAGGCATCACAGCTTTTTCCTAAGAAGGCATGGCTGTTATATGAAACCATTGCGCTTCCCTTCTCCCTCTGTTGGGTTACATTTTTCTATCCACTTGTTTACTGAGTTGTGTTCCAGGAAAAACAAATCTCGGTTGAGTTTTTTAAAGTCCCATACATTCAGTTCAGTTCAAGGGTGTCTCTCATCTTAGTGATGGCCAGGCACAAGACTTTTTAAAAGGTGCTGCAGAAAATTTTGATAAAAGCCTTTGCATCACCCATAATACCTTTGGGGACCATTGAGCAGCAAAAATGATGAGGAAGAAATCTGTTATGTGCTGGAGACCTTTGTGTTTGCACCTCATCTAATGCTCACAATGACCCTTTAAGTAGGTACTATTATCCCTCTATCCCAAGACATCACTAACTTGTCTTTTATCTCAGAATTGGTGAAAGGTGGAACCAGAATTCAGACTCACATATTTCTGAATCCAAAGCTTATGTTTCAGTCCACACCATTGTACCTTCCAGAATTCAAAGAAACAAAGGATGACGGCTTCTAACAGAAATAACCATACAAGCTTCAATGAAGAGACAGGGACTGAAATAAGCCTTAGGATGAAGAACAATTTAGGAGGTGAACAGGCAGGTATGCATGTTATATGAAGGAGTCAAATAATTGCAAAATATTTAGACATGAGAAAGTCAAATGTGGATCAAGGGAGTAGATTGGGGTCATATTATGGAGACTTTGAATGATGGCTTAAGAAATTGGAATTTCATCCTATAGATGATAAGAGTCACTGGAAAGCTTTGAGAAGGTCAGTAACATCACAAAAAGCATTTCCAGGAAGATTACTCTGACAGTATTAGGCAAGATAACTTAGGCAAGTGGTCTTCAACTCTGGGAACTCAGGATTATCTGGAAGTTTTTTCCCCCTTCTTTTTTATAACTTTCATTTTGAAATAATCTTACACTTCCAAAAATGTTCCAAAAATAGTCAGAGTCCCCATATTCTTTTCGTTCAACTTTCCCTAATATTAACGTTATAGATAACCACAGTGTAATCATCAACATCAGTAAATGATCACTGACATCTTACAATGAATGAACTTGCAGACCCTATTCAAATCCTCTCCATCTTCCCACTAATATCCTTTTTCTGGACAAGGATCCATACAAGATCACACACTGCATCTCATTATTCTGTCCTCTCAATCGCCTTCAATCTGGGATGGTTCCTCAGAATTACTTTTGCCTTCATGACCTTAACATTTTTAAAGAGTATCGGTGAGTTATTTGGTGGAATGACCCTCAGTTTGGGCTTACCTAATATTTTCTCATAATTAAACTCAGGTTATCCACTTTGGGCAAAAATGCCACAGAGGCGATGCTGCACCTTCTCCATCCATCATATTAGGATGCCCAGAATTTCTATATCTTTGATTATTGGGGATGTTAACTTTGAGCACTGGGCTAAAGTTCCTCCACTGTAAAATGACTATTTTCCTTGGAAGCATTTTTAAATGACCAAATCCCAAGGCACACCATGGAGCAATCAAATTAGACTCTCTTTGAGGAAGACACAGGCATTTGTATGTTTTAAATTCCTAAGGTGACTCTAACCAGTAGCCAGGGTTGAAAACCAACGACTTAGACAGTGAAAATTAGAATCCTGGAAATCAGCTAGGAAACCATTCCTCAGGCCTCTCTTTTAAAAAATAACATCAAGCTCCAGGCACAAGTAATTGTATCTGGACATCAGTAATTATATCTGAACCCATGGTAGGAAAACAGGAAGGTCAAAAATGATGGGTGAGTAGACTGCTGCTCAATAAAAAAAGAAGGCAGGACACCAGGTAAAGTGTCCAGCCCTCTTGTCCTATTGTTTCCTTAAACCTCAGAGAAACCTTGTTGCAGTGGAAGAACACACCATATAATTTTACTGTCCTAAGCTTTACATGAGCTCCTAATTGCCACTGACAGGGAGGGAATTATGAGTCATGTGATAGAAATATATGACTGCACATGCAAAGATGCACACTTCCAGGTATGATTGAATGAACATCGTAGAATCCAGGTCAGAGGTACATGACTTCCCCATAAACAACCTTGTCCTCCCCATCTGGTCTTTTGTCCTTCATCTCTTCTGAAGTAAGAGAGGAAAGACCCTATTTTAAATTTCATGAATTAGGAAAGTGAACACAATTCCTATCACCAGGCTTTTTAAGCAAGAGGATACTGTGCTCAACTTCCTTAGAGTTATTATCTTGAGGTTTTCATAAATAAATGTCAACAATCTCTCCCTTGGAGGAATATTTAGAAAAACTCTAAAACCCATTTTATCTGATTTCACACCACATCATCAACACAGAAGAATTCTTTGACCAAATATGGGTGTGGGTGTTCCTCCCCACCACCAAGTGAGCAATCAGTACTGCAGTGGACACTGGCTGGGTGTCCTCCAGTTAAATTCTGCCACGGTCAATCTGTATTTCACAATAACACAAGAGGCCATTGAATAACATGCAAAAGGAAACACAAATGGAACCAAAATCCAGAAGCAGGAAGGACCCTGACAAGAGCAATCCCTAAGGTATTCACATGCCTGCCAGGGTCTGATGCTGCTGGTGCAGAAGGGACTGCTGCTAGCAACAGCTGAAAAAAAGAGAGGGCAGCTCTAACACTCAGTGAGCACTAAAAAAAAATTTACTCAATTATCCCTCAATGATCACACAGCCAATGTCCTTTAAACCTCTCTATAGTGTCTCACCAAGAGGAATGGCACATAATTAAATGTTGACATATGGGAGAAATAATTTATAGAAGGATAGGATCAGCTGGTTCAGGAATGGTTGGAAAAGATTTCACTAAAGAGGCAGGATTCAGGTGAGTACTTGGAAGCATTCAGCCTTAGGAAAACAGAGACAAAGAGAGACATAAACCGAGGGAATCACTGTAAGTTACCACTGTAGATGCTAGTTTTAAAGAGGATCTCAGGAATAAGAGTGGGTTTGCAGATGTTATTTTATTTATTCCTCTCAACCACAATATCTTGTTATTTCAGAGAAGGATACAAATCTTCAGAAAGGTGAAGTAACTTTCCAAGATTGGTGGTGGATCTGGGAATAGAAACTATGTGTACCTAACTCCAGAGCCCATGTCATGACCACTACCACTGACAGAGAACTGAACACAAAACTATGCTCGTGATATTATAAAAGTGAGAGAAAAAAGCATAACTGACTCCATCTTGCCTTTATATTCACAAGCTAACTGCCTTTGCTTATTTCTGTATGTAGGACAGCCTAACTGTGGGAGGAATTTAGTTTATAGTTTAACCTACCCTTCCTTATTCAGGAACAGAAACTACCTTTGAAAAATGGATGAATGTCACAAGGTTAGAATTATCAGAGTGGCCTGAATTCTGCTAAGATGTAGGCATAGTTAAACAGTAAGCAGTCATCATTCCCTACCTTGCTTGCTTTTTAAAATAATTGTTTATTGCTCAGGAGTCAGTCAGCTGATAGTCACAATATTTGTAATTTCTCCATTTGCTCCTATAGATAACATCACTATTGTGAAACTTAAGACTGGTGTTTGAGCCGCATGTTCTCACTCATGGGTTGGAATTGAACAACGAGAACACCTGGACACATGAAGGAGAGCATCACACACCGGGGCTTGTTGTGGGGTGGGGGGAGGGGGGAGGGATAGTATTAGGAGACATATCTAATGTAAATGACGAGTTAATGGGTGCAGCACACCAACATGGCACATGTATACATATGTAACAAACCTGCACGTTGTGCACATGTACCCTAGAACTTAAAGTATAATAAAAAGTATATTTAAAAAAAAAAGACTGGTGTTTGAGATATTTTTCAGACTTTTCGTTCTGGTGGAGCAACTGACACTATTTGGACCAATGACCCATACCAAGAAACTGAATCAACTGGTCCTGTGACCCTCACCCAGGAACTGAATCAGCACACAAGACAGTTTTCACACCACTGTGTTTTCATCCCTGACCCAACCAGTCAGTAGTGTCCATTTCCTAGCCACCTGCCCACCAAACAATTCTTAAAATTTCTAGTCTTCAAATTCTCAGGTAGGCAGATTTGAGAAATATCTCCTGTCTTCATTGCTTGAGCCTCCTGCAATTATTAAGCTCATTCTCTGTTGCAATACCTTCTGTCTCAGTGTGTTGGCATTTTCTGTGCAGCGGGCAAGAAAAACCCACTGGATTGTAACAGATTTGGAGCATCATTTGAGATTGCCCCTGTAGGTGCGTGGCCATGGTTTGGCAGCCCTTCACTGGTGCACTGGCCCTGGAGGTGAGCTTTCTTAAACTGAGGGCCACCTCTGGCACAATCCTTGCTGGTGGGTGGATGGTCAGTCCATGGTACTTGGACTTGCTTGCAGTGGGGAAACATTTTCTGGGACTGGACGATGTCTTTTGATAAGTATTCTAAAGGCAAACAACACCCTTTTTCTTTTTCTGATCTGGTGGCCCCTGTGGAGGCATTGTGCCCCCTTGACAGATCTTGGTTGGCTCTTCCTAGGTGGTAGAAAGAGTCCTGGCGTGGGGAAATTCCTGCCCAATTGAATGGAGAATAGGAGGCTTGTTTGGAAGAATACTCCTGAAAATTTTCTTATCTGGAATTTAGGTTGGTAAGGTATTTTGATTGTCTTTGTCTTGTTTTTCCCCCATCTTTTTCTTTTCTTTTTTAACTTGTTTTATTTCCATAAGTTTTTGGGGGAACAGGTGGTATTTGGTTACATGGATAAGTTCTTTAATGGTGATTTGTGAGATTTTGTTGCACCTGTCGCCCAGACAGTATACACTGAACCCAGTTTGTAGCCTTTCATTCCTCAACCCCTTCCCACCCTTTCCTCCAAGTCCCCAAAGTCCATTGTATCATTCTTATGCCTTTGCATCCCCTTAGCTTAACTCCTACTTATGAGTGAGAACATATGATTGTTGGTTTTCCATTCCTGAGCTACTTCACTTAGAATAATAGTCACCAATTCCATTCAGGTTGCTGCAAATGCCATTAATTTATGAATGTATTCCCTTTTATGGCTGAGTAGTATTCATATATATATATAAAGAAAATATGAGATATATCTCATACTTTCTTAATCCACTCATTGATTGATGGGCATTTGAGCTGGTTCCATATTTTTTCAATTGGAAATTGCTGCTATAAATATGTGGGTGCAAGTATCTTTTTTGCATAATGATTTCTCTTCATCTGGGCAGACACCCAGTAGTGGTATTGCTGGATCAAATAGTATTTCTACTTTTAGTTCTTTAAGGAATCTCCACACTCTTTTCCATAGTGGTTGTACTAGTTTACATTCCCACCAGCAGTGTTGAAGTGTTCCCTTTTCACTGCATCCACACCAACTTCTATTATTTTTTAATTTTTTGATTATGGCCATTCTTGTGGGAGTAAGGTGGCATTGCATTATGGTTTTGACTTGTATTTGCCTGGTCATTAGTAATGTTGAACATTTTTTCACATTGGCCATTTGTATATCTTCTTTTGAGAATTGTCTATTCATGTTCTTAGCCCACTTTTTGATGGGATAGTTTGTTTTTTCTTTCTAATTTGTTTGAGATCCTTGTAGATTCTGGATATTAATCCTTTGTCAGAGGTACAGATTGTGAAGATTTTCTCTCACTCTGTGGGGTTGTCTTTTTACTCTGCTAACTATTCCTTTGGCTGTGCAAAGGCCGTTTAGTTTAATTAAGTCCCACCTATTTATCTTTGTTTTTGTTGCCTTTGCTTTTGGGTTCTTGGTCATAAAATCTTTGCCTAAGCCCATGTCTAGAAGGGCTTTTCCGATGTTATCTTTGAGAATTTTTATAGTTTCAGGTCTTAAATTTAAGTCCTTGATCCATCTTGAGTTAATTTTTGTATAAGGTGAGAGAGGAGAATCATTTCATTCTCCTACATGTGGCTTGCCAATTATCCCAGCACCATTTGTTGAATAGGGTGTCCTTTCTCCACTTCTTGTTTTTGTTTGCTTTGTCAAAGATCAGTTGGCTGTAAGTATTTGGGTTTATTTCTGGGTTCTCTATTCTGTTCCGTTGGTCTATGTGTCTACTTTTATACCAGTACAATGCTGTTTTAGTGACTATGGCCTTATAGTATAGTTTGAAATCAGATGATGTGATGCCACCAGATTTCTTCTTTTTGCTTAGTCTTACTTTGGTTACATGGGCTCTTTTTTGGTTCCATATGAATTTTCAGATTGTTTTTTCTAGTTCTGTGAAAAATGACGGTGGTATTTTGATGGTGATATGGTTTGGCTCTGTGTCCCCACCCAAATCTCATCCTGAATTGTACTCCCATAATTCCTACGTGTTGTGGGAGGCACCTGGTGGGGGGCAGTTTCTCCCATACTGTTCTCATGGTAGTGAATAAGTCTCATGAGATCTGATGGTTTGATAAGGGGAAACCCGTTTCACTTGGCTCTCATTCTCTTTTTGCCTGCTGCCATCCACATAAGATGTGACTTGCTTCTCCTTGACTTCTGCCATGATTCTGAGGCCTCTCCAGCCATGTGGAACTGCCACAGGGGCAGGGCTGCCCAAGACCATGGATACCCGTATTTTGCATCAGCATTACCTGGATGTGAGACATGCAGTCAAAGGAGATCATTTTGGAGCTTTAAGACTCGACTGCCCCCCTGGATTTTGGACTTGCATGGGCCCTGTAGCCCCTTTGTTTTGGCCAATTTCTCCCATTTGGAATGGCTGTGTTTACCCAATGCCTGTACCTCCACTGTATCTAGGAAGTAGCTAATCTGCTTTTGATTTTACAGACTCATAGGTGGAAGAGACTTGCCTTGTCTCAGTTGAGACTTTGGAATGTGGACTCTTGAGTTAATACTGAACGAGTTAAGACTTTGGGGGACTGTTGGGAAGAAATGATTAGTTTTGAAATGTGAGGACATGAGATTTGGCAGGAGCCAGTGGTGGAATAATATGGTTTGACTCTGTGTCCCTACCCAATTCTCATCTTGAATCATACTCCCATAATTCCCATGTGTTGTGGGAGGGACCCAGTGAGAGATAATTGAGTCACGGGGGCGGTTTCTTTCATACTGTTCTTGTGGTAGTGAATAAGTCTCATGATATCTGATGGTTTGATAACAGGAAACCTGTTTCTCTTGGCTCTCATTCTCTTTTTGCCTGCTGCCATCCACATAAGATGTGACTTGCTTCTCCTTGACTTCTGCCATGATTCTCCCCAGCCACGTGAAACTGTGAGTCCAATTAAAGCTCTTTCTTTTTCTTTATTTTTAAAAAATTATCCTTTAAGTTCTGGGATACATGTGCAGAACGTGAAGGTTTGTTACTTAGGTATAAATGTGTCATGGTAGTTTGCTGCACCCATCTACCCGTCATCTACATTAGGTATTTCTCCTAATGCTATCCCTCCCCTAGCCCTCCACCCCTGACAGGCTCCAGTGTGTGATGTTCCCCTCTCTGTGCCCATATGTTCTCATTGTTCAACTCCCATTTATGAGTGAAAACAAGCGTGTTTGGTTTTCTGTTCCTGTGTTGGTTTGCTGAGAATAATGGTTTCATTTCATGTCCCTGCAAAGGGCATGAACTCATTCTTTTTTATGGTTGTATAGTATTCCATGGTGTATATGTGCCACATTTTCTTTATCCAGTGTATCATTGATGGGCATTTGGGTTGGTTCCAAGTCATTGCTATGGTGAATAATGCTGCAATAAACATACGTATGCATGTGTCTTTATAGCAAAATGATTTATAATCCTTTGGGTATATACCCAATAATGGGATTGCTGGGTCAAATGGTATTTCTGGTTCTAGATCTGTGAGGAATCACCACAGTGTCTTCCACAATAGCTGAACTAATTTACATTCCCACCAACAGTGTAAAACATTCCTATTTCTCCAATCCTCTTCAGCATCTGTTGTTTCCTGACTTTTTAATGATCACCATTCTAACTGCCATGAGATAGCATCTTACTGTGGTTTTGATTTGCGTGTCTCTAATGACCAGTGATGGTTTGGCTCTGTGTCTGTTCATATGTTTTTTGGCCGCATAAATGTTGTCTTCTTTTGAGAAGTGTCTGTTCATATCCTTTGCCTACTTTTTGATGAAGTTGTTTAGTTTTTTCTTGTAAATTTATTTAAGTTCTTTGTGGATTCTGGATATTAGCCCTTTGTCAGATGGATAGATTGTAAAAATTTTCTCCCATTCTGTAGGTTGCCTGTTAATTTTGCTGATAGTTTCTTTTGCTGTGCAGAAGCTTTTAGTTTAATTAGATCCTATTTGTCAATTTTGGCTTTTGTTGCCATTACTTTTGGTGTTTTAGTCATGAAGTCTTTGCCCATGCCTGTGTCCTGAATGATATTGTCTAGGTTTTCTTCTAAGGGTTTTGTGATTTTAGTTCTTATGTTCAAGTCTTTAATCCGTCTTGAGTTAATTTTTGTATAAAGTGTAAAGAAGCGGTCCAGTTTCAGTTTCCTGCATATGTCAAAGATCAGATGGTTGTAGATGTGTAGTGTTATTTCTGAGGCCTCTGCTCTGTTCCATTCGTCTACGTATCTGTTTTGGTACCAGTACCATGCTCTTTTGGTTACTGTAGGCTTGTAGTATAGTTTGAAGTCAGGCAGCATGATGTCTCCAGCTTTGTTCATTTTGCTTAGGATTGTCTTGGCTATGTGGGATCTTTTTTGTTTCCATATGAAATTTAAAGTAGTTTTTTCTAATTCTGTGAAGAAAGTCAATGGTAGCTTGATGGGAATAGCATTGAAGCTATACACTACTTTGGGCAGTATGGCCATTTTCACGATATTGATTCTCTCTATCCATGAGCATGGAATGTTCTTCCATTTGTTTGTGTCATCTCTTATTTCTTTGAGCAGTGGATTGTAGTTCTCCTTGAAGAGGTCATTCACATCCCTTGTAAGTTGTATTCCTAGGTATTTTATTCTCTTTGTAGCAATTGTGAAGGGGAATTCACTTATGATTTGGCTCTGTTTGTCTATTATTGGTGTATAGATGTGCTTGTGATTTTTGCACATGGATTTTGTATCCTGAGACTTTGCTGAAGTTGTTTATCAAGGAGTTTTGGGGATTAGACAATGGGATTTTCTAAATATACAATTCATGTCATCTGCAAACAGAGACAATTTGACTTCCTCTCTTCTTATATAAATACCCCTTTTTTCTTTCTCTTGCTGATTTCCCTGACCAGAATTTCCAATACTATGTTGAATAGGAGTGGTGACAGAGGGCATCCTTGTCTTCTGACGGTTTTCAAAGGGAGTGTTTCCAGCTTTTGCCCATTCATTATGATACTGGCTGTGAGTTTGTCATAAACAGCTCTTATTATTTTGAGATATGTTCCATCAGTACCTAGTTTATGGAGTGTTTTTAGCATGAAGTTGTGTTGAATTTTATCAAAGGCCTTTTCCGCATCTATTGAGATAATCATGTGTTTTTTCTCACTGGTTCTGTTTATGTGATGGATTACGTTTATTGATTTGCATATGTTGAAACAGCCTTGCATCCCAGGGGTGAATCTGACTTGATCATGGTGGATAAGCTCTTTTTATGTGCTGCTGGATTCAGTTTGCCAGTATTTTATTGAGGATTTTTGCATCAATGTTTATCAGGGATATTGGCCTGAAATATTATTTTCTTGTTGTGTCTCTGCGAGGTTTTTGTATCAGGATGATGCTGGCCTCATAAAATGAGTTAGAGAGGTGTCCCTCTTTTTCTAGTGTTTGTAATAGTTTCAGAAGGAATGGTACCAGCTCGTCTTTGTACCTTTGGTAGAATTTGGCTGTGAATCCATCTGGTGCTGGGCTTTTGTTGGTTGGTAGGCTATTACTGCCTGTCTCAATTTCAGAACTTGTTATTGGTCTATTTTTTTTTTTGGTTGGTAGGCTATTAATTACTGCCTCAATTTCAGAACTTGTTATTGGTCTATTCAGGGATTTGACTTCTTCATGATTTAGTCTTGGGAGGGTGTATGTGTCCAGGAATTTATCTATTTCTTCCAGATTTTCTACTGTATTTGCATAGAGGTGTTTATAGTATTCTCTGATGGTAGTTTGTATTTCTGTGGGATCAGTGGCGATATCCCCTTTATCATTTTTTATTGTGTTTGTTTGATTCTTCTCTCTTTTCTTCTTTATTAGTCTGGATAGTGGTCTATCTATTTTGTTAATCTTTTTAAAAAACCAGCTCCTGGATTCATTGATTTTTTGAAGGGTTTTTCATGTCTCTATCTCCTTCAGTTCTGCTCTGGTCTTAGTTATTTCTTGTCTTCCACTAGCTTTTGAATGTGTTTGCTCTTGCTTCTCTAGTTCTTTTAATTGTGATGTTAGGGTGTCAATTTTAGATCTTTCCCACTTTCTCATGTGGGCATTTAGTGCTACAATTTCCCTCTAAACACTGCTTTATCTGTATCCCAGAGATTCTGGTACCTTGTGTCTTTGTTCTCATTGGTTTCAAAGAACTTATTTATTTCTGCCTTAATTTTGTTATTTACCCAGTAGTCACTCAGGAGCAGATTGTTCAGTTTCCATGTAGTTGTGCGGTTTTGAGTGAGTTTCTTAATCCTGAGTTCTAATTTGATTGCACTGTGGTCTGAGAGACTGTTTGATATGATTTCCGTTCTCTTGTATTTGCTGAGGAGTGTTTTACTTCTAATTATGTGGTCAATTTTAGAATAAGTGCTATGTGGTGCTGAGAAGAATGTATATTCTGTTGATTTGGGGTGGAGAGTTCTGTAGATGTCTATTAGGTCTGCTTGGTCCAGAGCTGAATTCAAGTCCTAAATATCCTTGTTAATTTTCTGTCTCTTTGATCTGTCTAATACTGACAGTGGGATGTTAAAGTCTTCCACCATTACTGTGTGGGAGTCTAAATCTCTTCTTAGTTATCTAAGAACTTGTTTTATGAATCTGGGTGCTCCTGTATTGGGTGCATATATATTTGGGATAGTTAGCTCTTCCTGTTGAATTGATCCCTTTACCATTATGTAATGCCTTTTTTTGCCTTTTTTGATCCTTGCTGGCTTAAAGTCTGTTTTATCAGAGACTAGGATTGCAACCCCTGCTTTTCTTTGCTTTCCATTTGCTTGGTAAATCTTTCTCCATCCCTTTATTTTGAGCCTATGTGTGTCTTTGCACGTGAGATGGGCCTCCTGAATACAGCACACCAATGGTTCTTGACTTTTTATCCAATTTGCAATCTATGTCTTTTAATTGGGGCATTCACCCCATTTACATTTAAGGTTAATATTGTTATGTGTGAATTTGAGCATGTCATATGATGTTAGCTGGTTATTTTGCCCATTAGTTGAGGCAATTTCTTCATTGTGTCAATGGTATTTACATTTTGGTTTGTTTTTGCCGTGGGTAGTACTGGTTTTTCCTTTCCATATTTAGTGTTTCCTTCAGGAGCTCCTGTAAGGCAGTCCTGGTGGTGACAAAATCCCTCAGCATTTGCTTCTCTGTAGAGGATTTTATTTCTCCTTCACTTATGAAGCTTAGTTTGGTCAGATATGAAATTCTGGGTTGAAAATTCTTTTCTTTAAGAATGTTGAATATTAGCCCCCACTCTCTTCTGGCTTGTAGGGTTTCTGCAGATAGATTTACTGTTAGTCTAATGGGCTTCCCTTTGTGGGTAACCCGACCTTTCTCTCTGGCTGCCCTTAACATTTTTTCTTTCATTTCAACCTTGGTGAATCTGACAGTTATGTGTCTTGGGGTTGCTCTTCTCAAGGAGTATCTTAGTGGTGTTCTCTGTATTTCCTGAATTTCAATGTTGGTCTGTCTTGCTAGGTTGGGGAAGTTCTCCTGGATAATATCCTGAAGTGTGTTTTCCAACTTGGTCCCATTCTCCCCTATCACATTAAGGTACACCAATCAAACATAGGTTTGGTCTTTTCACATAGTCCCATATTTCTTGGAGGCTTTGTTGATTCCTTTCATTCTTTTTTCTCTAATCTTGTATTCACACTTTATTTCATTAAGTTCATCTTCAATCTCTAATATCCTTTCTTCCACTTGATCGATTCAGCTATTGATACTTGTATACGTTTCATGAAGTTCTCATGCTGTGTTTTTCAGCTCCATCAGATTATTCATGTTCTTCTCTAAACTGGTTATTCAAGTTAGCAGTTCCTGTAACCTTTTATCAAGAGTCTTTGCTTCCTTGCATTGAGTTAGAACATGCTCCTTTAGCTTAGAGGAGTTTGTTATTACTCACCTTCTGAAGTCTACTTCTGTCAATTTGTCAAACTCGTTCTCTGTCCAGTTTTGTTCCCTTGTTGTGATCCTTTGGAGGAGAAGAGGTATTCTGATTTTTGGAATTTTTAGCCTTTTTGTGCTGGTTTATCCTCATCTTTGCGGATTTATCTACCTTTGGTCTTTGATGTTGGTGACCTTTGGATGGGGTTTTTGCTTGGGCATCCTTTCTGTTGATGTTGATATTATTACTTTCTGTTTGTTAGTTTTCCTTCTAATGGTCAGCCCCCTCTTCCGCAGGTCTGCTGGAGTTTGCTGGAGGTCCACTCCACACCCTGTTTGTCTGGGTATCACCAGTGGAGCCTGCATAACAGCAAAGATTGCTGCCTGCTCCTTCCTCTGGAAACTTCATCCCAGAGGGGCACTCACCAGGTGCCAGCCAGAGCTCTCCTGTATGAGGTCTCAGTAAACTCCTGTTGGAAAGTGTCTCCCAGTCAGGTGGCACGGGTGTCAGGGACCTGCTTGAGGAGGCAGTCTGTCCCTTAGCAGAGTTCAAGTGCTGTGTTGGGAGATCTGCTGCTCTCTTCAGAGCTGGTAGGCAGGAACGTTTAAGTCTGCTGAAGCTGTGCCCACAGCCATCCCTTCCCCCAGGTGTTGTTTCCCAGGGAGATGGGAGTTTTATCTATAAGCTTCTGACTGGGGCTGCTGCCTTTCTTTTAGAGATGTCCTGCCCAGAGAGGAGAAATCTAGAGAGCCAGTCTGGCTACAGTGGCTTTGCCATGCTGCTGTGGGTTCTGCACCCAGTTTGAACTTCCTGGAGGCTTTGTTTACACTGTGAGGGGAAAACCATCTACTCAAGCCTCACTAATGGTGGACGCCCCTCCCCCCACCAAGTTCAAGCTTCCCACATAGACTTCAGACTGCTGTGCTGGCAGCGAGAATTTCAAGCCCATTGATCTTAACTTGCTGGGCTCTGTGGGGGTGGACTCCACTGAGCAAGACCACTCAGCTGCCTCACTTAAGCTCCCTTTCCAGGGGAGTAAATGGTACTGTCTCTCTGGTGTTCCAGGTGCCACTGGGGTACAATAAAAACTCCTGCAGGTAGCTATTGTCTGCCCAAACAGCCGCTTAGTTTTGTGCTTGAAACCCAGGGCCCTGATGGTGTAGGCACCCAAGGGAATCTCCTGGCCTGTGGATTGCAAGGACCGTGTGAAAAGCACAGTATATGGGCCAGATAACACCATCCTCACAGCACAGCCTTTCATGGCTTCCCTTGGCTAGGGGAGGGAGTTCCCCAACCCCTTGTGCTTCCTGGGTGAGGTCATGCCCCACTTTGCTTCTGCTCACCTTTCATGGGCTGCACCCACTGCCTAACCAGTCCCAATGAGATGAGCTGGGTACCTCAGTTGGAAATGCAGAATCACCCACCTTCTGCATTGGTCTCACTGGGAGCTGCAGACCAGAGCTGTTCCTATTTGGCCACCTTGCCATACCCTCAATTAAACCTCTTTCTTTTGTAAATTGCCTAGTCTCAGGTATGTCTTTATCAGCAGCATGAAAATGGACTAATACAGATAGGAATTGCATTGAATTTGTAAGTTGCTTTTGGCAGTATGGTCATTTTCCCAATATTGATTCTATCTATGCATGGGCATGGGATGTGTTTCCATTTGTTTGTGTCATCTATGATTTCCTTCAGCAGTGTTTTGTAGTTTTCCTTTTACAGATATTTCACCTCCTTGGTTAGGTATATTCCTAAGTATTTTATTTTATTTTATTTTTGCAGTTATTGTAAAAGGGGTTGAGTTCTTGATTCAATTCTCAGCTTGGTCACTGTTGATGTATCAGAACTACTGATTTATGTACATAAATTTTGTAACCTGAAACTTTGCTGAATTCATTTATCAGTTCTAGAAGCTTTTTGAAGGAGTCTTGATGGTTTGCTAGATGTACAATTAAATCATCAGCAAACAGTGACAGTTTGATTTCCTCTTTATTGATTTGAATGCCCTTTATTTTTTTCTCTTGTCTGATTGCTCTGGATAGGACTTCCAGTACTATGTTTAGTAGAAGTGGTGAGAGTGGGCATCATTGTCCTGTTCCAGTTCTCAGAG
The DNA here is from genome assembly GCF_000001405.40 of Homo sapiens. Taxonomy (NCBI): domain Eukaryota; kingdom Metazoa; phylum Chordata; class Mammalia; order Primates; family Hominidae; genus Homo; species Homo sapiens. The sequence continues at coordinate 25,881 of NT_187620.1, forward strand.
GGAATGCTTTCAACTTTTTCCCATTCAGTTTTATGTTGGCTGTGGCTTTGTCATAAATGGCTTTTACTACATTGTGGTATGTCCCTTGTATGCCGATTTTGATGAGGATTTTAATCATAAAGCAATGCTGGATTTTGTCAAATGCTTTTTCTGCATCTATTGAGATGATCATGTAATTTTTGTTTTTAATTCTGTTTATGTGATGCATCACATTTATTGACTTGTGAATGTTAAACCATCCCTGCATCCCTGGTATGAAACCCCCTCGATCATGATAGATTATATCTTTTTGATAAGCTGTTGGATTTGGTTAGCTAGTATTTTGTTAAGAATTTTTGCATTTATGTTCATCAGAGATATTGGTCTGTAGTTTTTTTTTTTTTTTGGTTGTTGTTATGTCCTTTCCTGGTTTTGGTATTGGGGTGATACTGGCTTCACAGAATAATTTAGGGAGGATTGCCTCCTTCTCTATCTTGTGGAAAAGTGTCAGTAGGATTTACACCAATTATTCTTTGAATACCTGGTATAATTGTGCTGTGAATCTGTTTGGTCCTGGACTTTTTTTTTTGTTGGTAATTTTTTGGTTACCATTTCAATCTTGCTGCTTGTTACTGGTCTGCTCAGGGTTTCTAACTCTTTCTAATTTAAGCTAGGAAGGTTGCATCTTTTCAGGAATTTATCCACCTTTTCTAGGTTTTCTAGTTTATGCACATAAAGGTGCTCATAGTAGCCTTGAATGATCTTTTGTATTTCTGTGGTGTCAGTTGTAATATCTTCTGTTTTATTTCTAATTGAGCTTATTTGGATCTTCTCTCTTCTTTTCTTGGTTAATCTTGCTAATGGCCTATCAATTTTATTTAACTTTTCAAAGAACCACGTTTTGTTTTATTCATCTTTTGTGTTTCTGTTTGTTTGTTTCAATTTCATTTATTTCTGCTCAGATCCTGGGAGACTTGTTTTGTGGCCTATCATATGGTCTATCTTGGAGAACGTTCCACATACTGGTGAATTGAATGTATATTCTGTGGTTGTTGGGTAGAATGTTCTGTAAATATCTGTTAAGTCCATTTGTTCCAGGGTATAGTTTAAATCCATTGTTTCTTTGTTGACTTTTGGTCCAGATAACTGGTCTAGTGCTGAAAGTGGAGTATTGAGGTCCCCACTATTATTGTGTTGCTGTATCTCTCATTTCTTAGGTTTAGTAGTAATTGTTTTATAAATTTGGGAACATAAATTTAGGTGCATATATATTTAAGATTGTGATGTTTTCCTGTTGGATAAGGTCTTTTATCATCATATAATGTCCCTTTTTGTCTTTTTTAACTGCTGTTGCCTTAATGTTTGTTTTGTCTGATATAAGAATAGCTACTCCTGCTTGCTTTTCATGTCCATTTGCATGGAATGTCTTTTCCCACCCCTTTACCTTAAGTTTATGTGAGTCCTTGTGTGTTAGGTGAGTCTTTTGAAAGCAGCAGATACTTGGTTGGTAAATTTTTATCAATTCTACAATTCTGTGTCTTTTAAGTGGAGCATTTAGGTCATTTACATTCAATGTTAGTATTGAGATTTAGAATTTTTTTAACTGTATTTTTGTTTTATAGGTCTTGTGAGATTTGTTTCAAAGACATTCTGTTTTGATGTGTTTCCAGGATTTATTTCAAGATTTAGAGCTCCTTTTTAGCAGTTCTTGTAGTGGTGGCTAGGTAGTGTCAAATTCTTTCAGCATTTGTTTGTCTGAAAAAGACTGTATCTTTTCTTTATTTATGAGGCTTAGTTTTGCTGGATACAAAATTCTTGGCTGATAATTGTCTTTTTTTTAAGGAGGCTGAAGATAGGGCCCCAATTCCTTCTAGCTTGTAGGGTTTCTGCTGAGAAATCTGCTGTTAATCTGATGGGTTTTCTTTTATAGGTTACCTGGTGCTTTTGCCTCGCTGCTCTTAAGATTCTTTATCTTGACTTTAGATAACCTGATGACAATGTGCCTAGGTGATGATCTTTTTGCATTGAATTTCCCAGGTGTTCTTTAAGCTTCTTGTATTTGGATGTGTAGGTCTCTAGGAAGGCCAGGGAAGTTTTTCTTGTTTATTTCCCCATATATGTTTTCCAAACTTTTAGATTTCTTTTCTTCCTCAGGAATACCAATTATTCTGAGGTTTGGTTGTATAACACAATACCAAGTTTCTTGGAGGATTTATTCATTTTTTAAATTCTTTTTTCTTGTGTTTGTTGGATTGCATTAATTTGAAAACCTCATCCTTGATATCTGAAGTTCTTTCTTCTGCTTGTTCAATTCTATTGCTGAGACTTTTCAGTACATTTTACATTTCTCTAAGAGTCTTCTTTATTTCCTGAAGTTTTTATTGTTTTTCATTTATGCTATCTGTTGCACTGACAATTTCTCCTCTCATATCTTGTGTCATTTTTTTGGATTTCCTTGAATTAGACTTCACCTTTATCTGGTGCCTCCTTGATTAGCTTAATAATCTATAGTCTGAATTCTTTTTCAGGCAAATCAGGGATTTCTTCTTGGTATGGATCCATTTTTGGTGAGCTAGTGTGATTTTTTTTTTTTGGAGGGGGGTGTTAAAGAACCTTGTTTTGCCATGTTACCAGAGTTGTTTTTCTGTTTTTCTTTTTTTGTTTTTTTGTTTTTTTTTCATTTGGGTAGGCTATGTCAGAGGAAAGATCTGGGACTCAAGGCTGCTGTTCAGATTCTTTAGCCCCACAGGGTGTTCCCTTGATGTAGTACTCTCCCCCTTTTCTGAGGGATATGGCTTCCTGAGAGCTGAATTTTAGTGATTGTTATTTCTCTTCAGGATCTAGCCACCTAGCAAGGCTACCAGGCTCCAGGCTGGTACTGGGAGTGTCTGCACAGAGACCTATGATGTAAATCATCTTCAGATCTCTCATCCATGGATACCAGCACAGTATTTGGGCTGTCTCCTGGGTCCTGCCGGAGCAATCTGCTTCTTTCAGAGGATCTGTGGATTCTCTCAGCTTTCCTGGTATATTCCTGCAATAGTTCTGGAGCAAGAGTTCACAATGTGATTCTACACACCACTCTGTCCCTCTGAGCTGGAGTTGCAATGTAGTCCTGCTTCCTGTCCACCATCTTCCCACAAATACCTTTTAGTGACAGATAATATCTAGGGAAATTTTTAATTCTGGCATGAAGAGCCCAAGTGGAAAACATGAAAATCAATATATAGTTGAGAATCTCTTCTTTCAGATTCAAATCCTGCTTGGCTCCTTACATGTACATCTCCTAGCACATGAGGTATAATGCAGTGTGATCAGAACTGTCATAGGAGATAGCTCCACACCTCTGGGATAGCTGCCGGGAATTGGGACAGCTGAAGAACATGGAGCTGGAGCTGAAGCTGATGGCTCCTCAGTGGCTGAGGATGTGCTGGAGGACAGTCCTGTCCAGGGGCAGCACCGGCAGCATTTTGGGGCATCCCCTTGAGTGCTAAACTCTTGTGTTTCAGCGCGCTGAGGGTGTGGGGTGGGCTCAGCCCACCCAAGAGGTGCTGCTCTGGCTTGCTGACCACAGAAACCCAAAGCTCGCAGTGCACTCGCTGCCTTCAGCCCTGACCATGGGGTCACTGCAGGTTTTTCCCTCCCTTCTTGAATTTGTATTCATCTGTCTTTGTCTTGTTATGTACATTTATGTTTATGGAGGGGATTCCCTGAAGGGCTTGTTATCAGAAGCTCAGCAGGCCTAACTCTGGGAGCTGTTTATCTGGGTAGTCACATTTGGTGAACTCTGAAGGAATCGCTAGTGGAAACTCAGCCAGCCTAACTCAGGGTGACAGTCACTTTCCCATCTTTCCCAGAGACTACCCATTGAACTCCTGGTCAGAGGTTATATCTTCATACCCTGAATGGATCAAAGATGATAGGGGCCAACAAGGGCAAGTTTGAGCTTTGTCAGGTTGATACATGGGTGCTGAGTTGGGTGACTAGTGTCTGTGTTTTGTTATGTGTATATCACTTCAGCCAGAATGGGAAATGTTAATTTGGCTCTCCTGTGCAGCCCATTGGGCTGCATCTTGCAAAATTGGGAGGCCTTTTGCTTATGATTCCATGAAGTGGAAAAGGATGATTTTCTTTTATAACATGGCTTGACCCCAACTCTGGTCTTCTGGAAGCCACAGACAAAGGGAATCCAGGAAGCTGACAAGCTGGCAAAAGGGTAGGAATAACTGTTTGTCTCCTCTATAATGTTTTAATTAATTTAAAAATTTAGAAAAAAATCTTCTGTAAGCTGAACACTGCCTGCTCTAGATTACTTCTGGGAATAGCAATGGAGACTGCCCTACACTGTAGCTCAGTGGCTAAGGTTTGCCCTCTCACTGCAGTGGACTGGGTTTGATGTCTGGCTCAGGCAGATTTTTCTGGTTTGATATCTCTGTGACTTTTGCCATTTATTGATCTTATCCCCTTTCATGGACAGCTTCTGATTCCCTGTCTTGAATTTTCCTTTCAGTGAGCTATCTTTGGAATGAGCAGCCTGCATTCAGAAATTGAAGTTGACTTATAGAGCCAATAAAAGCCCCTTGGAAGAGCTGGTCTTGTACCTTGTCTATGCAGTTCCTTTACAGGATTTCTGATGTGAAGTAAGTAAAGAATGCCACTTTCTGATAGGCCAGGAACCCCAAGTTACTTTGGGACCTTGCAAAGAGAGGAATTCATCCAGTTCATACAGGTATCTGCAGGCTCTATTAGGATGAGCCCACCTGTGTCTCAATAGCCTGCATATCAAGGGCTCCTGCTTACCGGGACATTTTGTAACTCCCTTCTCAGCCTATCTTCATGGTGATAAATTCCACTGATTTCCCCATAGAACAAAACGAGGACTTCAGGCAGACATCAAGATACCTGGTGGCAGAGCCTTCTAGGGATATTTGTTCCTAGTTATGGTGTTTATGGCAACAGAGACATGATCAGGAACCTGTCTGCTACCTTCGGATTGATTGTCTAGAAGAAACTGCAAAAACCCTTAGGGTTCAACAAAGTTCCTTCAGTTTGCTAGCTCACGTAGTCCTAGACAATCTGTTGGTGCTTGATTTCCTGTTGGCTAGACAAAGGGGAATTTGTGCAATATGAAACACCACTTGTTGCACCTATATAAACACCTCAGGAGAAGTTGAAATCTGGATAGAAAGAAATTCCCAAGAAACTTCATGGTTACAGCAGGTCTTTACCGGTGACCCCATGTCTGATTGGTTCTCGGTGTTATTTATCTGGATGCCTTAAAATTTCAGATCAGTTCCACAAGAACTCTTGAGACTTGGGCTTTCACTCTTTATATTAGGGCTCAACACTTACAGTCTGCTGTTCACTTAAGTACTGTGCTGCGGCTGGGGATGTGAATACTAATATCCTTGTCATGCAAAACTTGGGTCCCCAACCAGGCATTCGTGAATATAGGAAGACGACAGCAAGACAGTTTCATTTCTCCTATCCTGGAATAAACCCCAATGATGCCCCCTATCATCAGGAAGAAGTTAGAGTGGTTATCAACCCCTTCCATCTCATCATCTGCTCACACCTCAGGAATAAGGAATGCTTAAGCCCAGGGGGAACTGAAACCACCCTTGGAAAATTTTAATAGTGAGAGAAATCCAATGTAACTGGCTCCATCTTGCTTCTAACTTCACAAACTATCCACCTTTGCTTATTCCTGTACATAGGCCAGCCTAACTATAGAAGGAATTTATAGTTTAACTAATCCCCTTCTTGTTCTGGAATTGAAACCAACTTTGTAAAACAAATGAAATGTTGCAAGGTTAGAATTATGGTAGGGGCCTGAATTTAGCTAAGATATAGGCAGAGTTAAACAGCAAACAGTCATTGTTCCCCATCTTTTTTTTTGTTTTTATAATTACCTGCTGCTCAGGAGTCACGTAGCCAGTGGGCACAAGATTTATATGTTCTTTAATTGCTCCTATAGATTATATTGCTATTGTGAAATTTAAGGCTGGAGTTTGAGATATTGTTTAGACTTTGCATTCTGGTGGATCAATTGACACCACCCAGACTGTTGACCTACACTAAGAAACTGACTCAACTGGTCCTGTGAGCTCCACCCAGGAACTTACTCAGTGCACAAGACAATTTTGACACCCGATGATTTCATTTCCAGCCCAACCAATCAGCCGTGTCCATTTCCTAGTCCCCTGCTCTCCAAACACTCCTTTAAAACCCTAGTCTCCAAATTCTTGGGGAGGCAGATTTGAAAAATATCTCCCATCCTCTTTGCTTGGCCATCTTGCAAGTATTAAACTCTCTGCTGCAACACCTTCTGTCTTATTTTTTTGTTTGAGGAATTTTATCTCCTACATTTCTGGAAAGCACATCGTCTAATCTGTTACTTAACAGTAAGGCCAGCATCACCTCACCTGCTCTTGCCCTCAGATGGAAACACTGACCTGGGACTAAAGTGCAGACCACCGGGCTGAGTACCCTGGCCTGAGCCATCCCCAGAGATCAGGAGCCTCCAACCGGGAAACTTCCATACAGTCTTCAAATGACTTACAGCTGCACCAACAATCACAATGAAAGTTCTAATCTCTTTCCTCCTTCTGTTGCTGCCACTAATGCTAATGACCATGGTCTCTAGCAGCCCAAGTCCAGGTGGATAAGATTAATTGCCTATGAATGGAAAAAAGGGAGGAGAAAATGTGGCATAGTGGGCCACACATGCATCAAAATGTAGCTTCTTTCAGCTACAGGGGATTAGGGCAAGTTAGTCTTTTCCAGTGCCAGCTTCCTCCTTTATCAAAAGAAGTAAACTGTACTTATATACAAACGGTGTCAAGAGAGTTAAGATACTGTATGGGAAAGTGTCCACAACGGTAGCTGGCAAATACACACACACACACACACACACACACACACACACACACGCTAGCTCAACAAATATTTGCTCTCTTGCCTTCTCCTCTAACCCCTTTTCCAGAAGAGTAATGCATTTCTCTGGGGCCAAACATGGTGGCAGAGGTGGGAGGTTGTTAAAGGCAACTGTACATGTATAGAAGGTCAGGAAATCCTTACTTATAGTCTTTACAGTGTACCATACATGCCACAAACATGTCTTAATGCTATTTAATGGTAAAGTAATAAACTAGAAAAATCCTGTCACCAGGTAGTGTCCATATTTGCAACTTTATCCATAGCAAGTCCTGCTGTAGCAACTCACCTTTAGGGTAGCAAACCTTTGCTTAGGGGCTTCAAGTCTGCTCTGGGTTTTCAGTATAAAGTGGCCCAGGCTTTCACAGAGCAACCACGCAGAAGAGAGCTCACCCCATGTAAATTTTCACTTGGGAACACCATCTACCCAAGGGCCACTTTGATGTGAAATGGGTTTGTCACATACTCAGCATGAAATTGGTCCTAAAATCAGGAGATGTTCACCCTCCTACACTACAATTTCCAATGTCCCCTCCTTTGTAGAGAGAGCACTCGGGAAACTGCTGAGCCCCGTAGCCCTACGGTCTAGACAACCATTCTGAGAGGAAAGGCTTTTCCATCTCTGTGACAGACACCCAGGCTTGAGTCCTTAGCCTGGACTCAAAGCTCTAGCCCCAACCTGCTTTTCCAGCATTTCCCTCTCTACTCAATAAAAAAATACTCTCTCCCCACCCAAACTAGACTTTTTGCCCTTCCCTGAACAGGTCTTGTGTTTTCCCATCAGCTCAACTTTGCTCACACACCCAGCTCAAAACCACCTTTCCACAGCTTCCCTCAGTTTCTCCCACAGCCAGACATGTGGTCTCCCTCCTGAGAGCTGGCCTAGCCCTACTGGACACTCTGTTCTTGACACTTATCATCTGCTGCCTTATGTTGAAGGCCTTCATGCGCCTCTCCTGCCTCCAACCCCTGACCTTCTAGGCTGCAGCCTCCTTGGCAGCACAAAGTGGTGCACTGTTTCCATATCCCTCACGTTGTCCAGCTCAGTACTTGGCAAACATTAGCTAACTGCAAGAATGCATCTTCAGGTTTCTAAGTCCAACCAGGGCTTCATAGCAGTTCTGCTGATATTTGGGCTGAACAATTGCTTGTGGTGGGGGCTGTTCTGTGCCTTGTGCATTGTTCAGCAGCATCCACGTGGCCTTTCTTCACTAGATGCCAATAGCAGCCTTCCATCTCTCCCATCCCCACCCCTGTTATGAAAACTAAAAATATCTCCAGACATTGCCAACTGTCTCTGTGGGGGAAACCACCCCCAATTGACAACACCTGCTCTACACCAATACTTCTCTACCTGGATACACATTTAGATTCACCTAGACATTTATACTCAGCCTGGAAGTCAGGGGGACCTAGGTCCAAATTCTGGCTCTGCCACTCCCTTTGCAACCCTGGGCAAGTTGCTTTACTCTTTTGAACCTCAGTTTTATCATCTTAAGAGGATTAAATACTCCTTCTTAGCCAGCTTTGGTGGCTCAAGCTTGTAACCCCAGCACTTTGGGAGGCTGAAACAGGAGGAGCACTTGAAGCTAGGCATTTGAGACCAGCCCTGGCAACAAAGTGAGACCCTGTCTCTAGAAAATTTTTTAAAAAATTAGCCAGGTGCGGTGGTGTGCCCTTGAGGTTCCAGCTACTGGAAGGCGGAGGCAGAGGGTTATATGAACTGGAGGTGGTTGAGGCTGCGGTGAGCATAGTTGCACCATTGCACTCCAGCCTGGATGACAGAGCGAGGCCCTGTCAAAATAAATTAATAAATAATAAATAAAATAAATGTTAAAAATACCACTTCTTACAGAGACATGTTGTGAAGATTAAAGGATCCACAATGTGAGCTAGAAAGCGTTCAAGGAATAGACTGAGTGGAATTTCTAAAGTCGCTCCTACCAACTTAAGTGCCCCTCAACCAACAAGTGGATAAAGAAAAGGTGGTATATATACAACATGGACTACTAACTCAGCCATAAAAAGGAAAGAAATTATGGTCTTTTGCAGCAACTCGAATGGAGCTGGAGGCCATTATTCTAAGAAACTCAGGAATGGAAAAACAAATATCACATGTTCTCAATTATAAGTGGGAACTAAACTATGAGAATGCAAAGGCATCGGGATAATGTAATGGACTTTGGGGACTTAGCGGGAAGGGGTGGGAGAAGGGTGAGGGATTAAAGACTACACATTGGGTACAGTGTACACAGCTTGGGTGATGGGTGCACCAAAATATCAGAAATGACCACTAAAGAACTTATCCATGTAACCAAAAACTATTGAACTAACAATATATAAAATAAAATAAAATAAAATAAAATATCGCTCCTAAAGCACGAGGTTGAGGAACCGGAAAGCTCGCTGCGCCGCCAGGGGGCGCCATCACAAACCGCGTGGGGTGGGTGGCAGCCTGGCTCAAGCTTTGTTTCTCAGCCAAGCAAAGTTTTGCAATCCGGCCTGAATTTCAGCTACTGTTAGTGGCTAAAGGAAATAATAGCTCCTCTATCCCTAAAATAATTCTCAAAATAAAATCTAATCTTATTTTATGTCTTTTTTTTTTGAAACGGAGCCTTGCTCTGTTGTCCAGGCTGGAGTGCAGAGGTGCCATCTCTGTTCACTGCAACCTCAGTCTCCCATGTTCAAGCGATTCTCCCTCCTCAGCCTCCCAAGTAGCTGGGATTACAGGTACGCGCCTACCACACCCGCTAATTTTTGTATTTTTAGTAGAGGCGAGGTTTCACCATGTTGGCCAGGCTGGTCTCCAACACCTGACCTCAAGTGATCCGCCTGCCTTGGCCTCCCAAAGCACTGGGATTACAGGTGTGAGCCACCACGTCAGACCTAATCTTATATCTTTTTTTTTTTTTTTTTTAAAGGACATATCATATTTATTCATACACATGCTGGAATTATTGGTGCAGACATTTAAATACATTTTCTTTGAGAAAGTCCTTTTTTTTTTTTTTTTTTTTGATGGAGTTTCCCTCTTGTTGCCCAGGCTGGAGTGCAATGGTGCAATCTCAGCTCACAACAACCTCTGCCTCCTGGGTTCAAGCAATTCTCCTGCCTCAGCCTCCCAAGTAGCTGGGATTACAGGCATGCACCACCACGCCCAGCTAATGTTTTTTATTTTTAGTAGAGACGGGGTTTCTCCGTGTTGGTCAGGCTGGTCTTGAACTCCTGATCTCAGGTGATCTGCCCGCCTTGGCCTGCCACAGTGCTGGGATTACAGTCGTGAGCCACCACAGCTGGCCTGGGAAAGTCCATTCTTTTTTTTTTTTTTTTTTTTTTTTAATTTATTTTTTTATTGATAATTCTTGGGTGTTTCTCACAGAGGGGGATTTGGCAGGGTCATGGGACAATAGTGGAGGGAAGGTCAGCAGATAAACAAGTGAACAAAGGTCTCTGGTTTTCCTAGGCAGAGGACCCTGCGGCCTTCCGCAGTGTTTGTGTCCCTGATTACTTGAGATTAGGGATTGGTGATGACTCTTAACGAGCATGCTGCCTTCAAGCATCTGTTTAACAAAGCACATCTTGCACCGCCCTTAATCCATTTAACCCTGAGTGGACACAGCACATGTTTCAGAGAGCACAGGGTTGGGGGTAAGGTCACAGATCAACAGGATCCCAAGGCAGAGGAATTTTTCTTAGTGCAGAACAAAATGAAAAGTCTCCCATGTCTACTTCTTTCTACACAGACACGGCAACCATCCGATTTCTCAATCTTTTCCCCACCTTTCCCGCCTTTCTATTCCACAAAGCCGCCATTGTCATCCTGGCCCGTTCTCAATGAGCTGTTGGGCACACCTCCCAGACGGGGTGGTGGCCGGGCAGAGGGGCTCCTCACTTCCCAGTAGGGGCGGCCGGGCAGAGGCGCCCCTCACCTCCCGGACGGGGCGGCTGGCCGGGCGGGGGGCCGACCCCCCCACCTCCCTCCCGGACGGGGCGGCTGGCCGGGCGGGGGGCCGACCCCCCCACCTCCCTCCCGGACGGGGCGGCTGGCTGGGCGGGGGGCCGACCCCCCCACCTCCCTCCCGGACGGGGCGGCTGGCCGGGCAGAGGGGCTCCTCACTTCCCAGTAGGGGCGGCCGGGCAGAGGCGCCCCTCACCTCCCGGACAGGGCGGCTGGCTGGGCGGGGGGGCTGACCCCCCCCTCATCCTCCCTCCCGGACGGGGCGGCTGGCCGGGCAGAGGGGCTCCTCACTTCCCAGTAGGGGCGGCTGGGCAGAGGCGCCCCTCACCTCCCAGACGGGGCGGCTGGCCGGGCGGAGGGCTGACCCCCCCACCTCCCTCCCGGACGGGGCGGCTGGCCAGGCGGGGGGCTGACCCCCCTACCTCCCTACCGGACGGGGCGGCTGGCCGGGTGGGGGGGGCCCCCCCCCACCTCCCTCCCAGATGGGGTGGCTGCTGGGCGGAGAGGCTCCTCACTTCTCAGACGGGGCAGCTGCCGGGCGGAGGGGCTCCTCACTTCTCAGACGGGGTGGTTGCCAGGCAGAGGGTCTCCTCACTTCTCAGACGGGGCGGCCAGGCAGAGACGCTCCTCACCTCCCAGACGGGGTCTCGGCCGGGCAGAGGCGCTCCTCACATCCCAGATGGGGCGGCGGGGCAGAGGCGCTCCCCACATCTCAGATGATGGGCGGCCGGGCAGAGACGCTCCTCACTTCCTAGATGTGATGGCGGCTGGGAAGAGGCGCTCCTCACTTCCTAGATGGGATGGCGGCCGGGCGGAGACGCTCCTCACTTTCCAGACTGGGCAGCCAGGCAGAGGGGCTCCTCACATCCCAGACGATGGGCAGCCAGGCAGAGACACTCCTCACTTCCCAGACGGGGTGGCAGCCGGGCAGAGGCTGCAATCTCGGCACTTTGGGAGGCCAAGGCAGGCGGCTGCTCCTTGCCCTCGGGCCCCGCGGGGCCCGTCCGCTCCTCCAGCCGCTGCCTCCCGGGCGGCGCTCGCCGGCGCGGCGGCAAAGACTGAGACAGCTCCGCTGCCCGCTGAACTCCATCCTCCCGGCGGTCGGGCGGCGGCGGCTGCGGTCGGTCGCGGCGGCGGCTGCGGTCGGTCGCGGCAGCGGCTGCGGTCGGTCGCGGCAGCGGCTCCGCTTCATATCTGCAGCTGGGGCCCGCGGGCGTCAGCGCCGCGACTGTCCTGGCTCCGCACTGCCCCGGGCCGCAGCGCAGCCGCGCCAACCACCAGCCGCGGCCACCATGGCCAGACGGGCTCCCTAAGCCACCGACCCCAGCCCGCGGCGCCTTCGACCCTTCTGGGGCCTCCGGCGCCGCGACCTCCTCTAATCTTATATCTTAAAATAACCAAGTACATGCTCTATATGGATTTAACAGCAGAGAGGAAAAAAATATGAGAATATATGAGGACATTAGGAAATAAATTACTTATAATAACAGATTACTCTTTCCTTATAACATTACTTATTAATTATAAAAGTACTTATAATAATAGCTGACATGTTAAGAACTCCTATGTCACAAGCATTGTTCTAAGCACTATACACTCATTTTGGCCTCACAGAAATCTAAAGCATTTTTAAAATTTTGACTTTTCATTTATCACGTTTATTTATTTAATCTAATTAAATTAATTAATTAATTAATTAATTATTTTGAGATGGAGTCCTGCTCTGTCGCCCAGGCTGGAGTGCAGTGGCGTGATCTCGGCTCACTGCAAGCTCTGCCTCCCGGGTTCACGTCATTCTCCTGCCTCAGCCTCCCGAGTAGCTGGGACTACAGGCGCCCGCCACCACGCCCGGCTAACTTTTTGTATATTTAGTAGAGATGGGGTTTCACCGTGTTAGCCAGGATGGTCTCGATCTCCTGAACTCGTGATCCGCCCACCTCGGCCTCCCAAAGTGCTGGGATTACAGGCGTGAGCCACCACACCCGGCCTCATTTATCATGTTTATTTTTAAACATTCAAAAATCTTTAAAAATAGGGTTCCAGTTTATCCTTTATCCAGCTTTTTTTTTCAAATAACATCTTCTATAACTAATATAATTGTTCATATCAGGGAACTAGCATTGGTGCAATAACATTAACCAAGGGGATCTACAAATATTCAAATTTTGCTAATCATCCCACTCATGTCCTTTTTCTGCTCCCAAATCCAATCCAAGATCTGACACTGAATAACACTGTCACATCTCCTAGGCCTCCTCCAACCTGGGGGAGTTTCCCACTCTTTCCCTCTCTCAGGACCTTGACACTTTTGAGGAGGTCTGGTCAGTTGTTTTGTAGAATGCCTCTCAATTTGGGTTTGTCTCCTGTTTCCTTGGGATGTTTTAGGTTATGCATTTTGGGTAAGATTAGCACAGAAGTGATGTGTCTTTCTCAGGACATCCCACCTGGAGCCCCAGGATGTCCATATCTCTCATTACCGATGAGGTTCACTTTAAGCGCTTGGTTCAGGTGGTGTTTGCCAGGTTTCTCTACTATAAAGTTACTATTCATCTCATTGTAATTAATAAGTATCTTGTGGACAGATACTTTGGGAACAAACCAGTAGCCTGTTTCTTCTCACCTTACTTCCCCTGACCCCTCCTTCATACTCAATAGTTACAGCATCATCTTACCTTTACCCATTAATTTTTAGAATCTGTGGATGGTTCTTGATTCTGGCCTATAAACAATTATTACTGTGGTGTTAGCCAAATAGTGATTTTTTATTTCCATAATTCCTTCTACATTTATTAATTGGAATTCTGCTATAAGAAAGAGCTATTTCTTCTTCCTTATTTATTTCTTTGTTCAATTATTTATATCAGCATGGACTCATGGATATTTATGGGTTGGAATCCATTGCTATCATTATTATGTTGCTCATGTTGTCCCAAAATTGGTAATTCTAAGCTCCCTGTAATCTTTTGAAACATTCCCATAATTTTTCGAGTGGTTCCTTACTTTCTGGCCTCACAAAAAGCTCCGGGCTTCTCTTGTGCTTTCCTGCCCCAGCCCTGGATCAGCTATTTCTCCAGGGAGCCCTGGTTCCTTTCATGGGAGAATGATGTTGGTAAACCATGGGCACCGACACATCCATTGCCAGTGGGTGCCGATGCTCCTACGCCCTCTAGTGGTCAGAGCTGGGAAATAACACTCACACTAGTGTACTGGTAAACCCCACATTTTACAAATTAGGTAAATGAGGAAAAGTTAGGCAACTTGATCAAAATCACAGAGCACATAGGTAGTGGAACTGGGAAATGAAAACAATGGCAGACGCACCACAAGTCCTAACAAGTGGAAGTAACTCTTTCTTTTCTCTCTCTCTTTCTTTTCTTTTTCATTGACAGAGTCTTGCTCCGTCATCCAAGCTGGAGTGCAGTGGTGCAATCATAGCTCACTGCAACCTCCACCTCCTGACTGAAGCAAATCTTATTCCTAACAGCTTGCAAAGTGGATTTTATCATCATCATTTTAAAAATTATGGAATCGAGGATCAAAGAAGCCAAGTGACTCGTGCAAGATGACACAGTTAAGTGACAGAACCAGTAGTGAGTCCCAGGTCTCTCTGGATATAAAAAGTCCATGGTTATTCCACTGTATCAGTGTTTCCCAAAACTGACTTTAGGTGGAACATAAATAAGCTTTTAAGAAACTTTAATAGTTATATGTTTATTTTAATGCATGTTAGAAACAATTTTAAGCAAATTCACAAAACCTTTAATTTCATGGACAATATTGCAAAGGACGGGGATGTTTTGTTTCAAACTCCTGGCTTCAAGTGATCCCCCCATCTTAGCCTCTCAAGTACCTGGGATTACAATGTAAGCCATTGCACGCTGCTGGGACAAGGGTGTTTTGTAAAGTAAATTTATTTAGAAAAAATGTATGAAGTCAATAATAATAAAGATGGTACAAACTGTAGAAAACATTATAGAGATGGTCTATAAATATCTGAGGCTTGGGAGACATAATACTATAGCACCAGGCAGCTTCATCTTCAGTTATGTCTATAAAATTAAAGTCTCATAGTGCTGCATAAAGGAAAACTAAGAATCTTAGACATGGGTTTTAGCCCCATGTGTGCATTTCTAGGAACCCTCTCCCTGGACATCTCTGTGACCTCCTTGTTGGGAGTAAATCCAACTTTCCCAGCCATTAGAGAACACTAGGAAGACTCTGAATGCACAGAGGGGTTTCTGTGTCATAGAGGAAAAAGCTGGGTTGGGGGACCCTAGGGACTCTCTGCGTGGTGCATAAGAGATCCACACCCAGGACACAGCAGAGGTCAGCGCAGAGGAACGCAGCTCATCCTGTTATGGTACAGCGGTCCAAATAAGAGTTGCTTCTCAAAGCATGTTCTGGGGGAGCCAAAATGTAGACAGAAGTGAAGGAAAAGGCAAAGAAAAAGGAGGCAAGTGTGAGAAGGGAGGGGACAGAGAAGCATCCTGGGCTGAGACCACACCTCAGGCCCACCTGGGAAGTGCCCTGGGAGGAGTTTCAGCACAAACAGCACAGCTGACAGTCAGAGCAGCCATGCTTGGGAGCATTTCTGGAGCCCAAGCTCTTCTCCACAGTGGAGGACAGAGCAGGCAGCAGAGACCCTGGGACCCCCTCAGCCCCTCCCCGCAGAGGATTCATTCCCTGGCAGGGGCTCTTGGTAATAGGTGAGGGGAAGATTCTCTGGGAGTGGGTGGGAGGAGGGAGAATAGAGACTGGCAGTGGTCTCCTGGGGAGGGCAGGGCTCTGAGAGGGATCGAGGGTTTCTGCTGAAGTGGGAATAAGGGAGAGGACACCAGCCTCCATCATAGCTGAGACTACAGACACTTGCTACCATGCTCTGCTAATTTTTTAAAAAATTGTTTTAGAGATGGGGTCTTGCTATGTTGCCCAGGGTGGTCTCCAACTCCTATCCTCTAGCAATCCTCCCTCTATGGCCTCCCAAAGGACTGGCATTACATGCCTGAACTATTGCACCTGGTGCCTTTATTTTTTATAAAATATTACAGCCTGCCTGCTGGCCATTCCTCAGGCTAGCAAGTGCAGCTTCCTGCAGAGACCAATAGCAGGCACTTGAAGGAGGGAGGGTGGAACAGGGTTTGACGCTGAACAGGTTGGCCAAGTAGACATTCAATAGGGTTTAGGAGGAGCTATTAATATTCATGAAGGTTTGACTTACACAAGTTTGATAAGAAAACGTGCATGCTATATGCGTTCCATGTTCACTATGGAGTAATCAGGGTGCCCCATAGGGCAGTCTTCTCTCTGTTATCTGCACAGTAGAGCTTACAAAGCCCTCCATCAAGGCAACAGGACCCCCGTGGAGGACAAAGACTCTGTAGGTTAAACTGTGAACCTGAGACTCAGGACACAACATACCTGTGGTGAGTAAGGGGTCAGAGCTTCCTGGCCAGTCCCAGGCTGAAGATGTCCAAGGGCAACAGGACCTTCACTTTACTCAGTGTCACAGGTAGTGACACAGGACTCTATGAGAGTGGAACCCAGAACCCAGTGAATGCCGACTGCAGCGACCCAGTTAGCCTGAATGTCCCGTGTATCTTCTCTTCTTCTGGGGCTCAGGCTGCCAGCTCAAATCCACATAGCCAGAGCTCAAACCATTCACTTCCCCTTGGGTCCAAGAACACAGACCCCTGCCCTTGGATACCCAGGCTGGCTGTGACTTCCTGCCCCAGGCAAACCCGGAAGGGCACAGCCCTGACCAAAAATAGGTGGAGAGGGACTGCTCCTGTCATGGGAGGCTTGGGGTCCACAGCCTGTAATGGGAGAAACAGGTGAATGTCTCAGACTCAGGCTCAGTGAACACAGCGGAAATTTGGTTGGTACTTTCTCAAACAATGTTGTGACTTGGCTTAGAGGGACACTGTGGCCCTTCCACAGACCAGGAGTTTTCCTTCCCTCTGATAACATGTTCTCACCCTCAAACACAATTATGGTCCATCCTCTGAGGGAAACGATGTTGCCACCACTGTGGAGATGGTGCAACTGAGACAAACAGTGGTATCTGGTGTTGAATGGGACCTTAAGCCAACAATGACAACGTCAGTCCACAGTGTTTAGTATTTATGGACTCAATGCAAGTCACCTGATTTCATTGACTATTCACAACAGCTCAATAAAGTAAATGCATCATCACCACCACTTTAAAAAGGAAAAAGGTGCTTGGGCAATTTGTGACTACTGTGGTCGCTGCTGCATTGCTCTCTGGTAAAGCCAAGTAGGTAGTGGGTGCGGCCTCTGGGCTGGGATGATCCACCCTCCTGGTGGAAGCAGGGGAGCCAGGCTGGAGCCATGGCCTGTGCAGTGGTAGCAGCTGTACCGACTGCTGCTGCAGGATTTGCAAGCTGTTATGTTTGGCAAGCCACGAAGCACAGAAAGCCTCAAGTAAAACAAGTTTTTCAAAGTCTACCAAAATATTTTTCAGAGGTTATTACGACAGAGGTGGGGTTGAACCCAAAATGACAAAACAGGAAGCAGCACTAATACTAGATGTAAGCCCTAACGCCAATAAAGGAAACAGTAAGAGGTTCTTATCAACATGTTATGCTCTTAAATCACCCAGACAAAAGAGGGTCTCTTTATATAATAGCCAAGATCAATGAAGCTAAAAATTTACTGTAAGGACAAGCTAAGAAATGTAAATGTATAGTAAATTTCAAGTTTATATTAGTTTATGTGTACGAGTACCAACTTTTTATAATAAAATGCCTCCAAGCAGAGAAAAATTTGATTTTAGATTTAATAACCTATAACAGAGGACTCAGATGTCTGCTATTTCACAGTCAGCCTGAAAGGATCATTTTGCTGGAGGTAAGCTGCTGGTTCAGAAGGAGGAGTGAGCCACTGACCCTGTGGACAAAGAGAGGAGATGAATGACTGAGAGTTTCCTGGGGCCTGGGGCCATGTTCCTTCCCAGAGATCCCAGCCAGCTCTCAGGTTCCACCATGAGGTGTGCAAAGGAAACCATCCAGGGGATGGCCCTGACCCTCTGCAGAAGATCAAGAGTCTTTGCTCAGGTGACAATCTGTAAGGATAAGGTGGCACCTCTCTTTCACCCCAGACCACCCTATGGTGACCTTGGAGTTCTCCCAGACATCTCTGTGGGACCCACAATAGGAACTCCTTCTCAGCTCGCAGATTTTGCAACCTCATCATCAGGTTGAATTTTTCTCCTGTGGACTTTTGTGAGATTCTTTCTTAGCACTCTTTGTGGCTTTATAAAGATCAGTCCCTGTTCCTCATATAAACTTCTATGTATTGGGGGGAAGGCAGGTGTATTAGGCCACTTTTGTGTTGCTATAAAGAAATACCTGAGACCAGATAATTTGCAAAAAAAGAAGTTAATTGGCTCATGTTTCTGCATGATGCACAAGAAACAGGGTGACAGCATTTATTTGGCTTCCAGTGAAGCTTTTACTTGTGGCAGAAAGGGAAGAGGAATAGATATAACACATGGTGAGAGTGGTAGTAAGTGGCAGGGGGGAGGTGTCACTCCATGACAGTCTCACCCTGTCATTCAGGCTGGAATGCAGTGGCACAATCTCAGCTCACCGCAACTTCTGCTTCCTGAGTTCAAGCTATTCTTCTACCTCAGCCTCCCAAGTAGCTGGGATTACAGGTGTGCACCATCAAGTCTGGCGAATTTTTGTATTTTTAGTACAGATGGAGTTTCACCATGTTGGCCAGGCTGGTCTTGAGTTCCTGACCTCAGGTAATCCTCCTCCCTCAGTCTCCCAAAGTTCTGGGATCACAAGCATGAGCCACTGTGCCTGGCACCACACACTTCTAAATAACCAGACCTTGTACAAAATCACTCACTATCATGAGGACAGGACCTAGCCATTCATGAGGGACCTGCCCTCATGACCCAGCCAGGCCCCACCTTTAACATTGGGGATTACATTTCAACATGAGATTTGGAGGGGAGAAACATCCAAACTACATGAGCAGGCTTGCCAGTTGTGTTCATCTCTGAGGCCAGGGCAGCTTTTCATAGAATAGGAAGGGCATGTACTTTTCAAAAAATGTATTATGGAATGAAGATTGCCCAGCTCAGTCCTCATAACTTCTGGATTTGAAGTGACTCCAATCTAAGGATTTCTCAATCTGAAGGGCCCATCAGACTAACAGCGGATCTCTCTGCAGAAACTCTACAAGCCAGAAGAGAGTAGGAGCCAATATTCAACATTCTTAAAGAAAACAGTTTTCAACCCAGAATTTTATATCCAGCGAAATAAAGCTTCATAAGCAAAGGAGAAATAAAATCCTTTATAGACAAGCAAATGCTGAGGGATTTTGTCACCACCAGGCCTGCCTTACAAAAGCTCCTGAAGGAAACATTAAATATGGAAAGAAAAAACCAGTACCAGCCACTGCAAAAACATACCAAAATGTAAAGACCATCGACACTATGAAGAAACTGCAACAACTAATGTGCAAAATAACCAGGTAACATCATAATGATGGCATCAAATTCACACATAACAATATTAACCTTAAATATAAATGGGCTAAGTGCCCCAATTAAAAGACACAGACTGATAAATTGGATAAAGCGTCAAGACTCATTGGTGCGTGAGACCCATCTCATGTGCAAAGACACACTTAGGCTCAAAATAAAGGGATGGAGGAATATTTACCAAGCAAATGGAAAGCAAGCAAACAAACAAACAAAAAGCAGGAGTTGCAATCCTAGTCTCTGATAAAACAGACTTTAAGCCAACAAAGATAAAAAAAAAGACAAAGAAGGGCATTATATAATAGTAAAGGCATCAATGCAAAAGAAGAGCTAACTGTCCTAAATATATATGCACCCAATACAGGAACATCCAGATTCATAAAGCAAGTTCTTAAAGACCTACAAAGAAACTTAGAATCCCACGCAATAATAGTGGGAGACTTTAACACCCCACTGTCAATATTAGACAGATCAACAAGACAGAAAATTAACAAGGATATTCAGGACTTGAACTCAGCTCTGCACCAAGCAGACCTAATAGACATCTACAGAACTCTCCACCACAAATCAATAGACTATACATTCTTCTCAGCACCACATAGCACTTATTCTAGAATTGACCTCATAACTGGAAATAAAACACTCCTCAGCAAATGCAAGAGAATGGAAATCATAACGAACAGTCTCTCAGACCACAGTGCAATCAAATTAGAACTCAGGATTAAGAAACTCACTCAAAACTGCACAACTACATGGAAACTGAATAATCTGCTCCTGAATGACTACTGGGTAAATAACAAAATTAAGGCAGAAATAAATAAGTTCTTTGAAACCAATGAGAACAAAGACACAACCTATGAGAATCTCTGGGATACAGATAAAGCAGTGTTTAGAGGGGAATTTATAGCACTAAATGCCCACATGAGAAAGTGGGAAAGATCTAAAATCGACACCCTGAAATCACAATTAAAAGAACTAGAGAAGCAAGAGAAAACACATTCAAAAGCTAGAAGAAGACAAGAAATAACTAAGATCAGAGCAGAAATGAAGGAGATAGAGACACAAAAAGCCCTTCAAAAAATCAATGAATCCAGGAGCTGGTTTTTAAAAAAGATTAGCAAAATAGATAGACCACTATCCAGACTAATAAAGAAGAAAAGAGAGAAGAATCAAATAAACACAATAAAGAAGGATAAAGGGGATATCACCACTGATCCCACAGAAATACAAACTACCATCAGAGAATACTATAAACACCTCTATGCAAATAAAGTAGAAAATCTAGAAGAAATAGATACATTCCTGGACACATACACCCTCCCAAGACTAAACCAGGAAGAAGTCAAATCCTGGAATAGACCAATAACAAGTTCTGAAACTGATTCAGTAATTAATAGCCTACCAACCAACAAAAGCCCAGGACCAGACAGATTCACAGCTGAATTCTACCAGAGGTACAAAGAGGAACTGGTACCATTCCTTCTGAAACTCTTTCAATCAATAGAGAAAGAGGGAGTCCTCTCTAACTCATTTTATGTGGCCAGCATCATCCTGATACCAAAACCTGGCAGAGACACAACAAGAAAAGAAAATTTCGGGCCAATATCCCTGATGAACATCGATGCGAAAATCCTCAATAAAATAGTGGCAAACCACATCCAGCAGCACATCAAAAAGCTTATCCACCATGATCAAGTCAGCTTCATCCCTGGGATGCAAGGCTGGTTCAACATATGCAAATCAACAAACGTAATCCATCGCATAAAGAGAACCAATGACAAAAACCACATGATTATCTCAACAGACGCAGAAAAGGCCTTTGATAAAATTCAACACATCTTCATGCTAAAAACACTCAATAAACTAGGTATCGATGGGATGTATCTCAAAATAATAAGAGCTATTTTTATCAAACCCACAGCCAATATCATACTGAATGGGCATAATCTGGAAGAATTCCCTTTGAAAACTGGCATAAGACAAAGATGCCCTCTGTCACCACTCCTATTCAACATAGTATTGGAAGTTCTGGCCGAGGCAATCAGGCAAGAGAAAGAAATAAAGGTATTCAAATAAGAAGAGAGGAAGTCAAATTGTCTCTGTCTGCAGATGACATGATTGTATATTTATAAAACCCCATCATCTCAGCCCCAAAATTCCTTAAACTGATAAACAACTTCAGCAAAGTCTCAGGATACTAAATCAATATGCAAAAATCACAAGCATTCCTATACACCAATAATAGACAAACAGAGAGCCAAATCATGAGTGAACTCCCATTCACAATTGCTACAAAGAGAATAAAATACCTAGGAATACAACTTACAAGGGATGTGAAGGACCTCTTCGAGGAGAATTACAAACCACTGCTCAAGCAAATAAGAGAGGACACAAACAAATGGAAAAACATTCCGTGTTCATGGATAGGAAAAATCAATATTGTGAAAATGGCCATACTGCCCAAAGTAATGTATAGATTCAATGCTATTCTCGTCAAGCTACCATTGACTTTCTTCATGGAATTAGAAAAAACTACTCTAAAGTTCATACGGAACCAAAAAAGAGCCCATATTGCCAAGAGAATGCTAAGCAAAAAGATCAAAGCTGGAGGCATCATGCTACCTGACTTCAAACTATACTACAAGGCTACAGTAACCAAAAGAGCATGGTACTGGTACCAAAACAGATAGACCAATGGAACAGAACAGAGGTCTCTCAGTGAATATTGAGAACACATAGACACAGGGAGGGGAACATCACACACCGAGGCCTGTTGGGGGGCTCAGGGGTAAGGGGAGGAACAGCATTAGAGAAATACCTAATGTAGATGACAGGTTGACAGGTGCAGCAAATCACCATGGCACATGTACACCTATGTAACAAAACTGCACATTCTGCACATGTATTCCAGACCTTCAAGTATAATTTGAAAAAAAAAAAAAAAAAGAGCTAGGTCCACAGGTGAGGGTGTGTCCTCCTGAGTTATTGAGAAAATAAGAAAAATGGCTGCTATCAGGATAGGGAGAGGCTGCAGGTGCTGAGGGCACCCACTCTGCACAGGTCATGGGGTCGTTGTGGGGAGGAGGGGGTTCCAGGCAACTGGGTGCTAACTCAGGGATGGACAGATTCCGAGTGTGAGAGCTCGGCTCCTCCAGGACACATACTGGGGGGCCTCCATACTGCCCCTGGGGTCTGCCCCAGCCCTGCCCTTTGACCACTCTAAAGCAACCTCGACTTCCCAAGCCCAAGAACAAAAGGACAGAGGGTACACCCTTTACAACCCCACCTTTTTCTGCATTGCAGATGAGAAATGGAAAGTACTTCTGATTGGTTCCCTCCTGCAACAATCAGACTGGTCAAGGGTCTAGTCTTCATTTGCATAGGGATGTAACTTTGTAACTTCACTTCAGCCTCTGATTGGTTGCCTTCCACGACCAATCAGACTGATTGCAGGCCACTACTTTATTTACATAGGGAGTAAGCCAAGTAGCCAATGGGAAACCTCTAG
Source organism: Homo sapiens (assembly GCF_000001405.40). NCBI lineage: Eukaryota > Metazoa > Chordata > Mammalia > Primates > Hominidae > Homo > Homo sapiens. The sequence goes on from NT_187620.1 coordinate 48,777, forward strand.
AGCATATTTAAACTCCAGAAAATTCTATAACCAGCACTCTTGAGCTGCTTGCTTGAGGCCACTTCTACTCTGTGGAGTGTACTTTCATTTAAATGAATCTGTGTTTTTTGCTTCATTCTTTTATTGCCTTGTTTGTGCGTTTTGTCCAATACACCAAGAACCTGGACACCTTCCACTGGTAACAATATTATCCTCTCTGCAATTGTATTCATGGAAAACAATTAAAATTCACCCCATGGGTCCAGTTTGTGGTCTGTGATATGATTTATTTTCTAATTCTTATTTTTATTAGACGAGCCAGTGCTCCTGGAGGCACAGGTGAATCCATATCTTGGAGTAGGAGAAATCTGTACTAGCTCAAAATATCCATAAATGTCAATATAAAGGAAGCTTTGAAAACATTTCAGGGAGTGCTGAAAACAGGGAGAGATCTCGAAGAATCCTCACTGTGCAAGAGTCATAATTTGGGAACCAGAAGGTAATTGTGAAGTATACATAAATGTTTGTGATGAGATGTAGGAGATAACATTAAAGGAAAAAGATACTATATCATGGGGCTGGGCACGGTGGCTCACGCCTGTAATCTGAGCACTTTGGGAGTCTGAGGCGGGTGGATCATGAGGTTGGCAGTTCGAGACCAGCCTGGCCAACATGGTGAAACCCCCATCTTTACTAAAAATACAAAAATTAGCTGGGCGTGGAGGCACGTACCTGTAATCCCAGCTACTCAGGAGGCTGAGGCAGGAGAATCACTTGAACCCGAGAAGCGGAGGTTGCAGTGAGCCGAGATGGCATCATTGCACTCCAGCCTGAGTGACAGGGCAAGACTCTGTCAAAAAAAGAAAAAAAAATATATATATATACCATATCATTAAGTCAAAGAAGTGAATCAGTCAAAAACAATGGATGGAAACACACCAGAAAAGTGGACAATAGAAAAAAATACCCCAAATACAGAAGTATTAAGTTAAAAAACAAAAGTTATAGAATAAATACATATGAACTCAACTCTAAAGTTTAAAAAGATTAGGCCGGACACGATGACTCACGCCTGTAATCCCAGCACTTTGGGAGGCCAAGGCTGGAGGATCACTTGAGCTGAGGAGTTCAAGAACAGCCTGGGCAACATGGTGAAACCCTGTCTTTACAAAAAAGTACAAAAATTAGCCAGGCATGGTGGTACATGCCTGTAGTCCCAGCTACTTGGGGGGCGGGGGCTGAGGCAGGAGGATCACTTGAGCCTGGGAGATTGAGGCTGCAGTGAGCCAAGATCATGCCACTGCACTCCAGCCTGGGAACAAGATGAGACCCTGTCTCAAAAAAAAAAAAAAAATTAAGATCACATTCAATGTGAAAACCACACATAGGCTATATGTTGTTTATGCCATATAATTTAAAAACACTACGGAGGAGTTTCCGCATCAGTGGCTAAAACAATTCCCTGTTGGTTACATATCTGCCTCATATTCCATTGTGTAAATGTATATAACCTGTTTAACTATGCTAATGTAAATGTAGGTTGTTTTCAGTATTTTGCTGTTAAGCCATCACTGCCATGAGAAACCGTGATTAGGTGTCATTTTTCATGAGTGTGTGATAAATTCCTTGCAGTGCAGTTTGGGAGGCAAAGAGAATGCATATGTTAAATTTTGATAAGTGTTGACAAATTTGATGCCACACAGTTGGTACAAATTTTCATGTCACCCAACAAAGTTAGGAAGTACAATTTTTACCAAAGTTCTTCCCACACGTTGTGTTATCAAATGGAATTTTTCAGCATTTAAAACCACTGGGCCATATTATGATCCTCACCTTTCCAGGATAATATCAATGTCCGTTTCTCCTGCATGTGTGCGGGTATTTTGTTCATATGTCTACGAATCATTCAAATTGTTTTTTCTTCTGTAAACTGTTTATATATTTGCCTACTTTTCTACTAGACTTCAGTCTTTTTAATTTTATTTATTCTTTAAGTATTAACAGATGTGAAAGTTGTCAGAGTCAAAATGAGTCACTAGTGTGAAAAAAAACTCTGACAAATAGAGCCAGAGAAGACCATGAAGAGAGGATCCTCATGCCTGATAACAAAACTATCACAAAAGACTCTGCAAAAGCCACAAGTTTATACAAAGGCCATCACAACCTTATATGAAAACTACTTCTGCAAGGACATCTGCCCAGCAACTGCCTATAGAACCTCACAGTGGCATCATTCTGGCTATTGATCTTTGTAGCTAGTTTTTTTTTTTTTTTTTCAAAATGACTAGATAATAATCCCAATTTTTTCCTTTAAAAACTCGAATATGTAGATCATTTTACTATGGCACATGCATTTCCATTGAAATGTGCTACTCCCAAATAAACATCAGTTTCTCATAGAAAGCCTCACTCTGTTTGTTACCATATATGGTGTCAGAAGTGGGATCTGGGAAAGATCACTATCAGAAGAAATCTGTGATCTTTGAACCAGTGTGCACTACTCACTTGAGAAGTTTGAGCTCTCTGCTTCCACACTCACCTTTCCTGCCCTGACAAGTCTTTGCTCAAGCAGAGCCTCTTTTTGGTAGAAGCTCTTGACTTTATTTGGAATCTGATTTGGATAAGGCTGCCTTAGTAAAAGACCATACATTTCTCCTGGGATGATAAAAAAAAAAAAAACTTTTTGTCTTTTCTAGCAAGTCCTTTCTGAGAGAAAGGCGTATATCTTTCTAGATCACGTACTCTGGATTCTACAAAATTTACATTCTGCCTGTGAGGCAAGTCTATTCTGGTGAATTTACTTCCATTTTGGCCTGTGTGCCTAATTTAAATACTTTAAAAATCTGCATGCCTGGGTTAAAATTCTTGTGAATGCTCTTATCTGGATTTCTTTTTATTTGGTTTGACTCTTTTCCCCTTGCTTGCTTCTGAAAATCATCCCAGAACACAAAAAAATAGACATTCTAAATGACGGGCACAAAATGGCTAATTAACAGCCACTAGCGTGGTTGCCACCATCTAAAACACTGGTACAAATGCCTGACATTCTCTGGCAGGATTTGTAAAATTTTCTTCACTTTCAAGAGATTAATAAGAAATGGAATGGGGCTCTCAAGCATTAAGGCATGCCAGGTTTTCTGGGGCTCCAGCTGGCTACATTTTATGGTTCTTTCTTGTGCACATTTTAAAGTTTATGAGCAAAATTACATCAAGGAAAATTCAGTACTCAATGATCATCATTCAACCTGTTTTAAAAAGCCCTGCATCTATAGGGTGGAAATGTAGAGTCTTCTAAATTCTCTATTTTTTTTTCTCTACCTACTTTGAATCTGCTGACTTTTCTACTGGTGTTGAGATAAAACTCACTGCTTATGGCATTCTAGCCCAGAGTTTTAAAAAAGAAATCTTGAAGGGCTTTAAAATTAATGGCTTTACAAATTAAACAACTCCATGATAAGAAACAACTTAGACACCTTTAGGAAATGTAAATTTAAGTTTGTCTAACTAATAATTGCTTATAATGGAGCACAATTAAAAATCAATAATTAAAAAAATACATGGTTATAAAAGTTAGGCTCTCAGATCATACAGGTCAAAATCTTGAACTCAGAGCAATAATTTAAGGTGTCTCTGTCCGACATAAACTTTTTTCTTCTTTTGCCATGCAGAGGCAAAAAAGAAAAAGCCAGGAAAAAAAGCTAAAATCCTTCCTCATCCACATTTGTTAATCAAGCAAACCACATCACCACCACCCGCCCCCCTCCAACCCACACAAAAAATCTAGTTTAAGGCTAGTTGGAGATTTTTTTTTCTTATACAATTCAGCCAGTTCTAGCTAAAGTGTAAGCAATTGAAAATTTAATCCTAAACTCATGTGAAACAGAAAAAAAAAAGATGCTGAAACTGTAGAGGTTTCATTTGTTTATTTGTTTATAAGTTACACTGCCATTAGAAACTGCTTTACCCAAAATATTTCCCCCAGCCTTCATTATATTACCTATAGGGGCAAATAAAGTTTATCCATGTTAACGATTCCAATTTGTCAGAAATACAATTGGATCCAGTTGACTTTAATCAACTAGTGAGTTTGTATTACTATCTCATCACTAAAATTCTAAAATGAAAGCTGTAAGATTTTTATTTGTTTGTGGATATGTGTTTAGGTGTGTTTTTGCATATGTACATGTATTATGGTCTATATTGTGTCTACATGACAAAATCCACCTTAGTTGGCCAGAAACGCCTTAATAAACTCTATTTGCATTTCCTTAGAGAAATGAGCATAAGAACATGGCTTTTACCCTAGTAGCATCGGGAGGGAATTCAGGGTCTTTCTAACAGTGAGGGGCAAACCCAATTCATTCCCTGACATCATTCACTGACATTCCCTCCAGGCTCTAACATATGTCTTTCTCACAAACACACCAAAACTGACACAAACTCCGGATATTCGATCCCAGGTGGATCTTCCACCAGGGCAGAATGACCACAAGAAAGTCAGGGAGTGATTCCCCAGCCTCGAGATCCCCAGTATTTGGGACATCTGCCTATGGTCCCTGCAGACATTTCACCAGGGGATCCAGGGGAACTTCTCCTGCAGGAGGGGACAGGATAACCCAGGATCTGCCTTTGTTTCCATCTCAGAGGGACTGAGGGTCACGGGGCCTCCCCTGCTCTAATACAGGAACCAGGTATCCCTTGCAGCCTGCAGGTAGGAGCTGCCCCAGCTCCTGGGCCCTGTGGAGAGGCCTGGGGCAGGTGACAGACAGGGACACAGATGACCTGGAGGCGGAACTCCCAGTGTTGTGATGGAGGAACACAGAACACACCGAGGACCACCTCCCAGGCCAGTGCCCTCTCTCTAAACCCCCAGAGACACCTCCCTGGGCCCTTCTTTTGAAACCTTGGGGACGGATGGCTCTTTCTGAGGCAGCCCATCCGCCTGCAGGACAGTTCTCCCAAATCAGGACCAGGAGTGCTCTGGACAACTCTCGTCCTCTCCCTGAGCTCATCCTGCACTGCATGGAGTTGGACATCCTGGGGACCCACAGTGAACAGGACCAAGGATGACCTGACCCTGCAGTCTGGAGGTCAGAGCCCACCTCTGCCCAGGGGCCAGGGCCAACTCATACCACGTGGACCCTGGTCAGCATCCCTGGGGAAGCCCCTGACTTTTACCACAGGGTTCCTCTTGCTCTCCAGGGGCAACATTGCACGCAGACAACACAGGAAATGGATTCCCCTGGACAGGAATCTGGCTTTGCTAAGGAGGTGGAGGTGAAGCCTGGTTTCCATACTTTGCTCCAGCAGGCCCTTCCAGTCCCTCCCATGTGCCTGCTCTGTCTCTCCTGATCCTTCCTGGAGCCTCTGAGGATCCTGCTCTGCCAGGATTCTCTGCTCAGTTCTCCACTTTCTCCTGGTATCATGCATGGGGAAGGTACAGTGACAACAGGACAATCACCTTCACAGAGGACAGAGGCCACCCGGGATGGTAAGGGAGAACATGCACAGGCCCTAAGCCACAGCTCAGCCAACAGAAACGGAGAGGGAGGATCTCCCTGAATCCCTCCTCAAGGACAGCAGAACCCAGAGCCACCCACCTCCCTCCACCACAGTCCTCTCTTCCCAGGACATGCAGGACACCTCCCTCCACATCCAGGAGCTGGGGATCCTCCTGAGACCCCCAGGCCTGGATCTCTGTCCCTGGGTCAGAGGCAAGGCTGGTGACACTGGAGAGAGAGGACTGGTCCCCCCCGTAGTCGCCCCCCATTTTCTATCCCACAGAGCCACCTCTGTCACCTTCCTGCTGGGTATCATCTCACACTCCCTGAGTATTGGGGAGCATGAGGAGACCTGGGGGCCCAGCTGGGTCTCTGTGTCACAAAAGGAAACAGTTCCCCAAGTTTGGGAGACCCCAGAGTACCTCTGTTTGTGGTGACATTCCCAAAGGGTCAGTGCAGGGGTGACAAGTCACCCTCTCTGGGGACAGGGGACTCCACCAACCCTGCTTCTCAAAGTGTGGTTAGGAAACTGTAATGTACACAGAAGAGAAAGGGGAAGGAGGGACAAAAAAGGCAGAAATGAGAGGGGAGGGGCAGAGGGGTGACCTGGGAAGAGCCCCGCCTCTGCCCCTGGCCCTGGGAAGTGCTTCTGCCCGGGAGGAGGCTCAGCACAGAAGGAGGAAGGTCAGCAGCCCCGACAGCCGACAGTCACAGCAGCTCTGACAAGAGCGTTCCTGGAGCCCAGCTCCTCTCCACAGAGGACAAGCAGGCAGCAGAGACCATGGGCCCCCCCTCAGCCGCTCCCCGTGGAGGGCACAGGCCCTGGCAGGGGCTCCTGATCACAGGTGAGGGGAGGACTCTCTGGGAGTGGTGGGAAGAGGGAGCACAGAGACTGACTGGGGTCTCTTGGGTAGGAGGGGATAGAGGGCTTCTGGCTGGGGTCTCCTGGGGCTCTGAGAGGGGACTGAGGGCCTCTGTTGGAGGCTGGATAAGGGAGAGAACATCAGAGAGGGGCAGGGGTCACAACAGGAAAATCTCAGTGAACTGGAATTGGTAAAAGGCAGGAAAATCTCAAGTGTTCTCTCGTCCTGGTTAATCATCACTGGCCACTACATTTTGAAAAATGATAATAACTATACCAGATGACACTTCAAATAAAAACATAACCAGGGCATAAAACACTGCTCTTAGCCAACAACCTCAGACACTGGGAAATAAACCTCAGGACTTGGAGGCCCTGAGAATGCTCATGAACTCATCTACAGGAGTCTGCAGCCTGTGCCAGGCACTGGGGTGCAACCAAGATCACACAAGTCCCCGCCCTCACAGAGCTCACGCTCTCATGGGGAGGAAGACAAACACCTAAAGAGATCTAGAATGTGAGGTCAGGTGCTGACAAGAGCCCTGGAGGGAACAGAGCTGGGAAAGGTCAGAAAGGGAAGACCCAGGGTCTCTAGAGGAGGTGTCAGGGGAGGGGTCTCCCAAAAACACCCTGATGTGAGCAGGATCTGAGGGCAGTGGGGAGGGAGCCGTGCAGACCCCTGGGGAAGAAGATTCCACCAGGGAAATGCCAAGGTCCAAGCTGTTGAAGGAATGGGGGTCATGCTGCTGACCCAGGGACACACACACACACACACACACACACACACACACACACACACACACACACACACACACACACTCCAAGGCTGAGGGATGAGGAGACCTGCTGAGGACCCAGGGCCTTATCTTTCCATCCCACTCCATAGGTCCCAGTATTGACTGATGCTGTCTTCACCTCCTAGCCTCACTTTTAACCTTCTGGCACCCGCCCACCACTGTCCAGTTCACTATTGAAGCCCTGCCGTCCAGTGCTGCAGAGGGAAAGGATGTTCTTCTACTGGCCTGCAATATTTCAGAAACTATTCAAGCCTATTATTGGCACAAGGGGAAAACGGCAGAAGGGAGCCCTCTCATTGCTGGTTATATAACAGACATTCAAGCAAATATCCCAGGGGCCGCATACAGTGGTCGAGAGACAGTATACCCCAATGGATCCCTGCTGTTCCAAAACATCACCCTGGAGGACGCAGGATCCTACACCCTACGAACCATAAATGCCAGTTACGACTCTGACCAAGCAACTGGCCAGCTCCACGTACACCGTGAGTGATTCCCCCATACCTCTGGGTGCTGGCGGTCAGTTCTGCTTCACACACATGAGATTGTCAGGCCTGGGCTGTGCCTGCATCCCCCTCTGCATTTTGTCCCGTGTTGAGATTTGGGCATTTAGTGCAGGACACACACATGGTAGGTAAACTTCAACAGATCAGAATTCCTTTCCTGCATCCAGGCCCTGCAGACACTGATGGCGGGGGCGGGGGGGCCTCAGCAGGGGGAGGTCAGTCTCAGCCAAGCACCCCATGCCCTCCCCATGAACCTGACCCTGAGAAAGACCCTGGAGAACTGGGTCAGGGCCTGGCCTGAGGGCGTCCTGGGAACCTCACAAAAGCCCAGCCTCAGGACTCCTGACTCCGTGTGACCCCGGGAAGCCTGTGTCAGGGCTGGGGTGTGGTCTCCTGGGCAGGGCTTACTGGGAGCAAGGATTTACCAGATGTCTGCGGGCTGTGGTTCCTGAAGCTTCTCATCAGTGAGGGCTCAGCTCCCAGAGTCTCATCTAGACAAGGACAGAGCCTACCACTTTCCCTGGGACTCAGCCTGGAGAGGGCAGGGGGACAGGATTACTAGGGCATTGGCCCCCTGAATGAGGAGCTTAAGAGATGCCCTTGGGCAGTCAGTGGCCCAGGGGTAGGAACAGAGGGGAGAAAATGTTCCTGGCAGCTTCTTGTCCACCGGGGATCATGCCCAGGGGTGCTCTCCCATGGAGGCAAATAACAGATGCTGTTGATGTGAACACCTCCTCTGTGCCAAGCTTCATGTCAGATCCTGTGAATAATTTAAAGTTCATTCACAGACAAAGTGGCAAGCCTCAGACCATTTTCCATTTACATATTGTATGGAGGGGAAACTGAGGCACAGAGAGATACAGACACCGGCCACGGTGGGCAGATCGCAGCTGGCAGAGTCACATGAGGGCTGTCTGCAGCTGCTGCCACGTCCTCTCCTTCATCCCTGGTGCCTTACTAGGTGTCTGTGGACCTCAGAACAGCCACTGGTTCGGATGTTTTCTTCTTAGGTGTCTACAGCTCGGAGGGGGAGATTCTGGTCTGGAGAGTTATGAGTAAATACAGAATTAATCAGTTTTTTCTTAACTAAATCACCTGCCTCAACAATCAGTCAGTGCTGGGGAAGTTCAGGCCTCCTCGCTCAGGTCCACACCCCGCATCTCTGGACATGAAATGGTTTCGTGTGTTTTCTGATGTGTGGGTATCATTCCAACAGGAGGATAAAGGGGAGGACTTTGCTTTCTCTCCCCATTCACACCCTGCACCAGCCAGGGCCCAGTGTGAGACACATACTCCGTAGTTCTCTCATGAAGGAGGGAGGGAATGAATGAAGGAATGATCTATAACCTCTTCAGAGACAGAGACCTGGATACAAGATCCTAGGAGGTTCTGGGCCCAACGTGAGACACACACTCTGTAGTTCTCTTATGAAGGAGGGAGGGATTGAATGTAGGAATGATCTATAACCTCTTCAGAGACAGAGATGTGGATACAAGATCCTAGGAGGTTCTGGCCACACCTGTTTTCTGTCCCTCTAGAGCCTAAGACCCATGTCTCATTCATCTGGCCCGTTTCTCCTAAATCTGCCCCTGGGAGCTGAGTCTCATCTGACCCTGGGGCTGCAGGGCTGTGGGAAGGTTTTCAGGGGAGGGATCAGGCTTGCGGGTAGTCCCACACGTTTGCCTTACACCCTGGAGCTCTACCTGGTTCTCACTATGAATATCCCATAATAATCCCCCCTATCCTTTCTGGGGAGTAGAAAAAAAGTAAATATTTAAAAATATGCCAGAGCATCTGTTCTTCTTAGCAAGTTCAGATAGTTATTAGTTAGCAGGAATAAATCGTTATTTTACCAGAGCCTCACCTGCTGGGGGTTTATGGGAGCCTAACTGACTGAGGGGGGTGGGAAATATCCAACTCCAGCCCCCTCTAGCCATCATGTCCCACCTAAAGGAGAGAAAAAACTGAGAGGCACTTGTGACATTCACAGCCCAGGGCACAGACTCTATCCAGGACCACAGAACCCCTCCCTCCCCCCACTCACCACCGCATCACTGAACGCCTGCTCACCCAAGTTCCTGTTGCCCAGTACATCATGTCCTGGCTTTCAACAAAAACTACAAGACAGACTAGAGGCAAAAAAAAAAAAAAAAAAAAAAATGCAGTTCGAAAGACAGAACAAGCATCAGAACCAGATGCAGATGTGGCAGGGATGTGGCAGGGATGTTGAAATTATCAGACCAGGAATTTAAAACAACTCTGGGGCCAGGAGCGGTGGCTCATGCCTGTAATCCCAGCATTTGGGAGGCCGAGGCAGGCAGATCACCTGAGGTCAGGAGTTCGATACCAGCCTGGCCAACATGGCAAAACCCCGTCTCTACTAAAAATACAAAAAATTAGGCAGGCATGGTGGTGGGTGCCTGTAATCCTAGATACTCGGAAGGCTGAGGCAGGAGAATTGCTTGAACCTGTGAAGCGGAGGTTGCGGTGAGCCTAGATTGTGCCACTGCACTCCAGCCTGGGCAACAGAGCGAGATTCCATCTCTAAAACAAACAAACAAAAAACAATACTGGCTAATATGCTAAAGGCTGCAATGGAAAGCATAGACAATGTGCAGAACAGACGGATGCTGTGAGCAGAGAGATGGACAGGCTAAGAAAGAATAACAACAGCTACTATATCTATCTATCTATCTATCTATCTATCTATCTATCTATCTATCTATATATATGTATATATATGCTAGAGATCAAACTCACTGTAACACCTGGATCTCAGAGTGGTTGTGAGGATGTTTATTAGGAGATTAAAGAGATTAAAGCAGAGTTATACACAGGGCGAGAGCTCAACTGATGCTATCAACTAGTATTCTTATTTTTTTGATGTTGTTATTGGCAATAAAATCAGGAACAATGCAGTAAAAATTTGGTTTTATCATGTACGAGTTCTGTGACCTTCCTTGACTTACTGAGGTACTGTAAGTCTCAGATTCTAACTCTGCAGATGGCGGTGATGCCCCTCTCCCTCAAGGTGATGTGAGGATGAGATGAGCTGTAGGTAGGTTGGTGCCCACTGTGCCTGGCACATGGAAGACCCCTGAAAATAGTCAATGAACATCATCCCCGCTCATCAGCATGGAGTTGACAGTGAGGGCTCGCTCTCTGTGACAATCATGGAATGGAAAAGAAGAAACAAGAGGAAGACTGGGCGCAGTGGCTCATGCCTGTAATCCCAGCACTTTGGGAGGCCGAGGCGGGCAGATCATCTGAGGTCAGGAGTTCAAGACCAGCCTGGACAACATGGCGAAATTTCATCTCTACTAAAAATATAAAAATTAGCCTGGCATGGTGGCACAAACCTGTAATCCCAGCTACTTGGGAGGCTGAGGCAAGAGAATCGCTTGAACTTGGGAGATGGAGGTTGCAGTGAGCCGAGATTGCGTCAGTGCACTCCAGTCTGGGTGACAGAGCAAGACTCCATCCAAAAAAAAAAGAAAAAGAAAAAAGCAACAGAGGGAAGAGGTGTGACATGAGAGGAAGAAGGGATTTAAAGGTACAGGAGCAGGGCGAGGTGCAAGCACCTGTGGGAGAATGTAGGAGTTGGTACATCCCAGTGTGTCAAGTCTGAGACACAGAAAATGGTGCAACCGTGGAGAGCAAGGGAGTCAGCTATGAGGACAGCCCAACAGACCACACTCAGGCTCTGGAGCATTTCCTTCCTCCCTGACTATGCCCCTGCCCTGCAATGCCTCTTATGGTTTCCCTTGGAACAAACTTGGGCCTTGTCCCCTTTGCCTTCCCCTTTCTGCAGAAAACAACGTCCCAGGCCTTCCTGTGGGGGCCGTCGCTGGCATCGTGACTGGGGTCCTGGTTGGGGTGGCTCTGGTGGCCGCCCTGGTGTGTTTTCTGCTTCTCTCCAGGACTGGAAGGTACCGCAGCTTTTCCCCAGCCTCCTCCCACCCCTAGGCTGACCCCAGTCAGGGAGGAGGGAGACCCCGCCCTGTATTCAGGGCCAGGCTTTCCGCATCCTCCCAAGGAATCCTTCTCTCTCATTCCATGGCTCCTCCCTTGCCAGCTGCTGATCCTAGGCTGCCTCTTCCTTTATGAATGTGGCACAGTTAAGGTTGCACCCCTGAGTGCTGTCCTAGTTCCCTAACACAGCAAAGCCACAGCTGCCTGGAGGGAGGAAGGGAGGGAGGGAGGGAGGGAGATAAGACGGGAGTGCTCAGAACCTGGTACCTTCTGCTGTTCATTGAATTTACCCACCCAGTGAGGAGGGATTTGCAGGCTTGAGATCCATGGTGGGGGTCCTGGGCATGGTCACGCAGTGGGGAGTGGCAAAGCCTGGACAGGCTGGGTAGGGTCAGCACCCCATCGTGATTGATGTCCCTGAGGTGTGAGATGGGAGAACCTGGACCTCAGGACCTGCTGTCCTTTATGTCTCTTGCCAAGGGGTGGAGAGAGAGAGGACAAGGCCATTGCCCCATTTCAGCATCTCCAGGCCTGAAAGGAGGGTCTGGCCATGGCAGGGATACTGAGTTCTGGGAGAATATGATACATGCTCCTTGCCTCCCCATGCCCCCAGCTCCCCCAGTGTCCTGCACACACAGCCGGCCCTGCTTTCCCTCTGGGGCCTTGACCCTTCCTCTCAGGCAAACGCAGGTGGTCTGATTCCCTCCCTGAGTCCTCAGTCCCTTTCCTGGGTCCCTGGGTCAATGTTCTCCTCACCCGGCATCTGCCTGGGGGGGTCCTTCCTCTCTGGCCAGGACAGACGTGACTGCTTAAGGCCTATCCTCAGCTCCCCGTCCTCGGCCGCTCCTACCACGAAACTGATGGAGACAGGAGGCCTTCACTCCAGTCCTTGAAAATGGAGTCCCTTCCTTGTCCTTTATTCTGCCCCTAAACCTGTGATTTCTCCCTGCACCCTCATGAATAATCCTGACCTTTCCTAGGGCCAGCATCCAGCGTGACCTCAGGGAGCAGCCGCCCCCAGCCTCCACCCCTGGTGAGTGTCCCTTCAGCCCAGGTGTGGGAGCCCCTAGGCCTGCCCTACGGTGTCCACTCCTGCCAGTCACCCCCTGGGGGCCTCTGACCCTTTCTTTGGGGCTGCAAGGAGGATGTCAGGAAACATGACACAGGGGACCCCGACTGTCTTGTTCAGACTGATCTGTGGGCTCTGGGTCGTGGGTCACCTCCTCGACCTCAGCTGCTCAGGTCTCCCCTGGGAAGAGGCTCCCTCTCCCTGATTCTCTGGGAGCTGAGGACCCCTACACTCTCCTGCAGGAGGGGCCCAGGCTCTCCTCCCACCCTGCTGCTCACTCCTGTCTCTGTCCCCAGGCCATGGTCCCTCTCACAGATCCACCTTCTCGGTAAGCCTGTTCCCTCCCCAGCCCTTTTCTACTGGGGTCCCAACAGTGCAGGCTCAGGGCAGGGGGACCATCAACCCCACAGCACAGCACTGACCCACCTTTCCCCAGAACAGTCAGGTCAAAGTGAGTGCCTCCGGCCAGGATCCGGGCCTCTCTACAGGGCCAGGACCACCCACGCCATGTGCTGACCCCTCCCCGGGACCCTCTACACCTGAGGAGAACCCTGGAGTCCAGCAGGTGCAGAGTGGACACTGGGACCATCAGTCAGAGGCCCACATTAACAAGGGTGCGGGGTGGGCCCAGCCAGGACAGGGGTCAGGGTGTTGTGTCCACACTGGGAGGCTGAGCTCAGGGGCAGAGCTGGTCAATCCTGAGGGGAAATGAGTGGAAGTGGAGGCAGGGAAGTAAGTCCTGGCCGATCAGAGACAGGAACCTTCCAGGCTGGGCTTCCGTGACCCTCCCTCCCTGTCCCCTGACATCTCCTCTCTCCCCTGCCCAGGCCCCTCTACCCAGCCCCAGAACAGCCACTCCCATCTATGAGGTGAGTGTGGGCCATGGATGTTCTGGTCCCGCAGGCTCCAGGGGACCCAGGATCTGCCCCCACCAGCACCTGGCTGAGCTCAGATTCAGGAAAATGCAGTGAAAATGAGAACAGGTGGTGGTGAGCAGAGGAGGGAGGGGCCTGGGAACAGGGACCCCCTGAGCACAGCCAGGTTCAGCCCCAGAGAAGCCCTGGGTGGGCCCAGAGCCTGGGAGATGCCAGACACTGTTCTGAGAAGGCTACAGGGGTTGAGGCCTCTTCTCTGTTTTTACAGGAATTGCTATACTCTGATGCAAACATTTACTGCCAGATCGACCACAAAGCAGATGTGGTCTCTTAGGTTCCTCTGGGAGCTGCTCTTGTGGGTTGATGGAGCGTCCCCGAAGCTCCCAGCCCTGGGGACGGGGAAGGACATGGAGCCTGAGCCAGAGAACCAGCTCTGAGTCCTGAGGAGACACAGGCCTGGGGACAGGGAGGGATGGGAGTCCCTGCTGAATATCTGGAGACCCTGACAGGTTGCCCTGGGCTCTGGGTGGGCCGGGACAAAGGCCTCTCATCACCACAGGAAGCGGGGGCTTGCAAGGAAAGTGAATGGGCCTGTGGCCCACCCGGGGTCACCAGGAAAGGATCTGAATAAAGAGGACCCTTCCTCTCATTGGCTCTTTTTCTGCTCACGGGAACTTAGCAGAAACTCACCTGAAACTCCGTGTCCATTCTCTCCCGGGTCACACAGGGAAAATATCTCCACCTTGTCTCAACCACAGTCTCTCTTCCCTGGGAGGCAGAAATAGGGGTTGGGAGTCAGGCTGGGGTGGGCCCTACACAGGAAAGGGCAAGATTCACATGAGCCCTGCCCAGCCAGCCGAGCGCTCAGCTGTCCTCACACTACCCCAGGGACCAAGGCCATGCACAGCCCCAGCCTGGGTCCCTCTGTGAATGCATGTGGGGTCTCAGGAGCACAGAAGATGGGGCCATCTGATGTCCACAAAAGGTGAGCAATGCGGGAGCAACCATGGGTGGTATAGGTTGCGGCTGTGGCCCCTACGCAGCCTCCAGTGTCCTGACCCCTGCTGCCCTCTTCACCCAGGCCCTGGAGGCCCAGTCTATCACTGTCCTCCACAAATGAACTTACCTGTCCCCAAATCCAGGATCCTGTGTGCTTATACCTGGCCACTAGGTTCTCCTCTGTCCCAGTGGCTACTGCTCAGGACATCTTTATCCCTGGTGGGGCACAGAGAGGGGCTGTCAGAGCAACCAAGATTAATACAGACGCATAATTCAGTCCTTGAGCACTACCCAGGACTCTGGCCCCTCATTGCTCATCAGTTCCCACTTTACCCCCTGGCATGGATCTCACTGAGCAAGCCAACTCTTTACACAGGAGCATCCAGGTCAGAGGTGCAGGACTCCCCCATCTAAAGCTCATGCAGGCTCCCATGGCGATGGGACAACCTGTCTGCTCCTCTCCCTGGCCCACAGCCCTATCTCGCCTGCAGCTCCTCCACACACCTGGGACAGCAGTTCTCAGCCCTTCCCTGAGGGCCCCTGGAAGGGTGATGATCTCATATAGGTTCACTTGAACCAGGTGCCACCTTCCCACAAGTGAGCTGGTGCCTGCACTAAAGCACAGAGCCACAGTTCCCAAGAGTGTTCTGCCACTGCCACAGGTTGTTCGTCCTGAGATGAGAGGTAAGAAAACAACCCGCAATGGGTTGTTTTATATCGGGATTTGCATCAGGATTTAGCTCTAAATGACCCCTGATCCCACCTGCACACAGCGTCAGATGAGACAAGGTGAGGCCTCTTTAGTTTTCTGTTGAGGCTGTGACAAATTACCACAAGCTTAGTGACATAGAAACCTGAACCAAAGTGCCCACATGGCTGTGTTCTTTCTAGAGGCTCCAGGGAAGAGTGCATTTCCTCTCCTTTTCCACCTCCTAGAGGCCTCCTGCAACCTTGGCTGTGTCCTCTTTCTCCATCTTCAAAGCCAGCAGCACAGCATCTTGAAACTATTCTGTGCCCTGCTTCCATCCCCACATCTCCACCTCCTCCCACCTCCCTCTCTCACTTAAAAGGAAGGAGCCTTGTGGTTATTTTGGACGCACCTGGGATAAACCACAACAACCTCCCCATCTCATGATCCTTCCTTTAATCTGTAAAGTGTCCTTTACCACGTGACATGTCCACAGATCTGGGGATGAGGATGTACACATCTTTGAGAGGCCCTTGTTCTGTCCATCACTCCTCTCAAGGCCATCTTCTCATCATCGTTCACTACAAACTACACATGGGCACCTGGATGGGTTCATCATGACTGTGGCGTCAGTTCCTGCATTAACATCCCCAGCACCCTCCAGATCCTGAGAGAGGGAGACGGAGGGCTCTCCATGCCCCTAGTACCTCTCCACCTTCTTCTTGGTGACATGCTTAGTTGCTAAGAATAACAGAAAGCAGAGGTGACTGAAAGATCACAACTCACCGGCCCTTCAATAGTTCATGGACATCAGCACCACGGACAGTGACTCAGTGAGGCTAATTTCCAGGTGGCAGCAGGGAGCATGCAGATAGGAGGGAACTGCAGGAAAAGCTGCCCATTCTATTCTATATGAGAAAGAGTGTAAGAAAGAGGAAGCTATTACAGGGATAATGCTATTCTTCTCTAATCCATAAATTGCGAAACCTTTGCATGTCTGGATATCATGGTTTTTAGCACATCTGCTGCCACTCCCTGCAGGGCTGCTTGCTGCATCCAGGATGTGGTCTCTTGGGGGGCTCACAGCCTGCTTTGGCCTCATGGTGAGTCTCCCTGCCCCTGACACTCAGGCCACTGTCTCTGCCTACAACATGGTGGGAACCTTCCATGATTAACGTCTGATTCTCTGTGCCTGACCTTTGAAGCACATCCATCACTCAGCCTGGAGCATCCGCTGAGCTCAGCATCCTGCTCCTCCATCCCCAGCTGAGCCCTTGAGGAGATGCTTGAGAGGATCTCCTGGGCTCCTCTGTGAGCTCCTCCAGGCTGAGCCTTGTGCTTGGTGTCAGAGGCCTTTGCCATCTGCTTGTTCTTTCCATAGGCAAATAATCCTCCTCAGGGACAAGTGGGGCCTGAAGATCTGTCTGAATATCTATCTATCTATCTATCTATCTATCTATCTATCTATCTATCTATCTATCTATCTATCATCTATCTATATGTATGTATATATGAGAATGCTTTATTAGGCAAAACTGCATACTATGAACATGCTTTAAAATGCAACAGGATGAGATGTGAAGACATAAAGAACAAGTGTGTAGTGACACATGGCTATCAGAACACACTGAAGAATCCACACCGCGGCCGAGAGCAGTGGCTCACGCCTGTAGTCCCAGCACTTTTGGAGGCTGAGGCAGGCAGATCACTTGAGGACAGGTGTTCGAGACCAGCCTGACCAACATGGTGAAACCCCATCTCTACTAAAAATACAAAAAATTTAGCCGGGCCTGGTGGCTCATGCCTGTAGTCCTGGCTGTTCGGGAGGCTGAGGCAGGAGAATTGCCTGAACCTGGGAGACACAAGTTGCAGTGAGCTGAGATCGCACCACTGCACTCCAGCCTGGGAGATAGAGTGAGGCTCCATCTAAAAACAAAACAAAACAAAAAGAATCCACACTGCTTCCCCGCTTCACTTTACCCAGAAAAGGAATGTTCTAGGCCACTTCCTCTTCAGCACACATCCCCAGGGAACTAAAATAGGTTCACAGTCACCCCCATCTTCCTCATTCCCATCACCTCTTACCCACAGAGGCATCTCTGGTCCTACAGATCCAGCCCTGCCTTCAAGAGGCACAGGTCCAACCCATCCAGTGTCCCTGCTAGTCACACACAGCACTCAGGGTACAATGGAGGGCTTCTGTGCTTTGGATGGGAACAAACCCCACCTCACATTCCCACACCTGAGAAGCCACCAGGGTCCTCTCTGTCCTGTCCTCACACTCAATGTCTGTCCTGGGTCACCCTTGTCATCTCTCCTGGAAATAGGCATGGCTCCTGACAGGTAGGATTGAGGCTTTGTCTTTTCAGGAGTCCCTCCCACTCTGAGCACATGAAACTGCTCAGCTCCATGCAACCCTCTCTCACCAGGGGCCTTGTTCTCTGGGTCCCTGAATACCTGGGTCCATGCCATGTACATTTTAAGAAAAATGACAGTGACTCTCACCCTGACATCCTCACCCAAGGCACGTGTCTGACAAGAATCACCAGGTGAGATACCTGTGGCTCCACACACCTGAGGCTTCACTGCGCAGGGGTGTCCTCATCCCTCTCCTCCCACCCCTAGGGACAGTAAGCACCACAGGCTGCCTTGGACCACCAGCTCCCCCTCCCAGACACAGCCTCAGATCTATACTGACATGCTACATGGAGAGGCTCTGATGAACAGCAGGTATTAGGAAATCCCACCGAACCAGGTGCCACTTGCGGCCCCACTCCTCCTCATATCTGTGACTGGGACAGACACACATAACACACCTCTGTTCACCGCCCAGCCCCCAAGGTCAATCACAGTCTGCTTCTCCCCTAGATCCACTGCTCCCCATGTCTTCCGTCCTCAGCTGCATCCTGGGTGGCCTCCTTGCTGTTCTTGTACCCCAGAGGCAGGTTCCAACCTTTGTGATGTTGCCTGCAATGCCCAAACTTTCCCTTCCCCTTCCCCTTCCCTTTTCCCCTCCCCCTTCCCCTCCCCTTCCCCTCCCCACCCCTATCCCTTCGTCTTCCCTTGTCTTCCCTTCCCTTCCCTATAAAGCCAAACATACCCATCCACCTACCTTGTGGTCAAAGTCATCAGCCTCCTGCTCCACTCAGTGTTCTCTGACCCTGCATATGGAGGTGGTGGCCCCTCCTAGAACACCCACCACTCACTGTCAGCCTTGCGTGGTAATCACAGATTTTGCAGGGGTTACCTGTGTTCAGGTGTGTCACCTGTGGAACCAGAACTCTTGGAAGGACTGGCAGAGGGAGCTGCTTAGGATATCTCAGGGCTCCTGGCATCTGGTCTACCACAGGGCTATTAACAACAGCACTTAGGGACAAGGTGGAGGATGGACGGTTAAGAGGGTAAATATGGATGATGTGTGGGCAAAGAATAGGACACAGGAACACATGCAGTACTCAAATAATTATGCCAAGAAAGGTGAGGACATGGAGATGGACATTCCCATATACTTCTGATGGGACTGCAGTTTAGTCCCTACAGCAACATTGACCTCACCATGTTTAACGCGCACACGCTCTGACCACTATCCTACTTCTGAAGGCCTCCCTGTGCTGTGAGCTCTGAGAAGGCCAAGCTTGCCTGTTCTGTCTCTGCTAAAGCCAGAGACCAGCCAATAGCCCAGCACAGGGTACTTCATAAATACATGTTGAAGGAATGAGCTCCAGGAACAGTACTCCACATGGTAGAGATGTGTGTATGAGGATGTTCACTGCAGAAGGTCATGTCAATGTGACAAGTGACGAGCAGCCTCAAATCCAGCAACAGGGGTGTGGGTAAAAGATCATAGTGTAGCCATGCAATGGAACCAATGAAAAAACCACAATTAGAGCAAATCCACATGTATTAATAAAGGAGGTGCCCTCCATACATGCTGCACCTAACAGAATGTTGCCAAATAAGAATGAAAAATGATGATATTTGGGCTGTAAAAACTAGAAGTCAGCTAAATAAGAATGCATCGAAAGTATTTGTGAATGCTTACAATTTTACAATGCCTTGGCATCCGTTTTGGATGGAAGTTGGACTTTCTCATACCAGAAGCAGGGCTCAGTCACCTTTGAAATAGTTTCCAGTTCTCCACCTCCTTCCAGTTCCTCAGTGTGATTGATCAGATATCTGATTTATACAACTGCCTCCTGGTGACCTCCTCCCTATGGGACTTCCGGATACAGCCCGTATGACTGCCCCACTGACCCCACACCCTGCCTGCTGCAGTGACCACCTCTAATTACCTGGATCTCATGTCTGCTTGCATTAAATCCACCAATTAAAACTCCCTGAGGACAATCTGTTTGAATAATATTCTGTACCCTAATAAAGGCCTTGACCCATGGGTTCCCCCTCTGTCCTCCCCATACTGCCCCTGACCTCTGTGTGTGTGTGTGGGTGTGGGTGTATGTGTGTGTGTGTGTGTGTGTGTCCTCCAGACAGGGCCTGTATCCCCCAGGACCTGTAAGTAATAAATCTTTATTTTCATCTTATGTCTCTCGCAATCATTGGCAAGAGCTCTGCATCTTAAAGATCGCAAATTTAAGAAATTGGTGTAGTCGGCACAATAGACTACCTCTTCTGTTTAGCACAAGATATCTCGGAGCTGCTGAGGCTTTTAACATCCTCGCCGGTGTGGCTGCCTCACTGGTGAGGCCGTTCTGTTCAGTGCAATTCAGTTGCTCCACTGTGTGCTGCTGTGTTGCTGCTGTAGAGTGCTGCCATGTTGTTCTCCCCAAATTGTTACCGAGTAGGAACCTGTAATGTGCTCCCAAGGTGGTCTACCCCATGAGAAGGGGGATTCTCCATCTAGGGCAAGGGCTAGGTGTGTTTCTGGAATCCTAATAGGGAAGGCATCCACAGAGGGTGAACTCCACTCCTCCTTAGAGTGAGGAGTGACATTTCCCATTTATTTTCCCCATGGAGGTGCCATGTATTGACTTTTTCTTTCACTGTCCCAAGGTTGAGCCAAGGTGAGCTATGGAGACCAGGGCAAGATACCATTTCTGTTAGCAAAGCAAATGGGTGACAACGTGTGGAGAAGCTGTGGTTCTCCTGATGGATATAGCAGAGTGCCATTTAGTAAAATCTTGTCAGGAGGCTGCCCCTGGTTAGACCGGCAGTGTCTGTAGTCACTAAGGTGGATGCGAATTTTAGGCCCTGGGCCATGGATAATCCCTGCAGACACAGCCGTGGCTTCATGTGATGGGGCAATCCCGGGCTAGTGGCTCCCTTGTTTCTGCATTTCTTGCTGTGGTTGCACAATCAACACCTCAGGGGTTGATTGGGTCACCTTGGAAAGAGAAACAGCTGCCTAGGAGGCTGGTGCACATGGAGGCCACCCTCAATTTTATTCTGCTAACAAGTTGTAAGATTAAAACAACAGGGGGCTTTGGGTACCATCAGGAACTTGTCAAGTAAACATCCAAAGACAGAAAGAAGAAAAAGAAAAAGACATTAACCGTCTAGAAATACAAGCCATTTTAAAGATTTTGCTTAAAAGATGCGCTTGGGCTGGGAGCGGTGGCTCACACCTGTAATCCCAGCACTTTGGGAGGCCAAGGTGGGTGGATCGACTGAGGTCAGGAGTTCAAGACCAGCCTGACCAACATGGTGAAACCTCGCCTCTACTAAAAATACAAAAAATTAGCAGGGCATGGTGGCAGGTGCCTGTAATCCCAGCTACTTGGGTGGAGAATCGCTTGAACCCGGGAGGCAGAGACGGCAGTGAGCCAAGATCGCACCACTGTACTCCAGTCTGGGCGACAGAGTGAGACTTCATCTCAAAAAAAAAAAAAAAAAAAAAAAAGACGGGCTTGTTTCGTCGTTGTGGAGTCATCCCAGAGAGAGGCTACTCCCTAGAGTCACTGACCACCTTTCCTCCTCCATCTTTTCCTCTTATCATTCTAGAGACAGAAAACAAGAATCTCAGCTTTAGGTGGCTAACCTCACCCCCCAAGAAAAGAAACTACCACTTTGATTGACTACAAATCCAAGAAAAATAAAAGAGAAACTTTAAACTTTAAGTACTGAGCAAACCACAGGTCTAGCAAACATAATGCTAGCCCTAGGTTACTTATTCATTTACAACAAACCCCTAGATATAGGAGGAAAAAATAAAAGGTAATTAAATATATACACATACAATATTTTAATATAAATATATAATAAATAGTTAAATTATGTATGTATAATATGTAACTAAATC
Organism: Homo sapiens; assembly: GCF_000001405.40. Lineage (NCBI taxonomy): Eukaryota > Metazoa > Chordata > Mammalia > Primates > Hominidae > Homo > Homo sapiens. The sequence continues at coordinate 70,281 of NT_187620.1, forward strand.
AAAGTAAAATTTCATACTTTGATTCTATTGGAAATTCAAAATTCATTTATTAACTTATATATTAAGGAATTTATGTAAAAAAAGATTTTTAAAAGGGCACCAATTTGCTTTTGTGTCTCTACAACATAGGATCTAATTTAACTTTACATTTGCTAAATACACTAATTGACAAATATTCATGGATTTAATCAATACTGGGGCTCAAATTGTAGCCACACGTGGGAATCCCATAAATTTAAACACTCTGTCCCTATTATCTTGAGAAGAAAACTAAATATAAAATTGAAAAAAACAGGTATGTCTCAATTTACCTGTAACTTTGCCTAAATTTCCCGGAGTCATATACCCATTGCTGTAAAACATTCTCTATTGGACATAGGTGCTCTGAGACAATAAATAAAATAGAAGTGTTTTTGGTACTTAGACATTGGCTTGACAAAATGGGATCCCATGAAACCTCAGTTAAGATAGTGAATATGGCCCAATGTGAGTTGAAATGGGGCCTTTAAGGATTAAAACTTATTACATGAAACCTAGTAAGTAATGGGGTGATTATCCATACTGCTTCTCCATTTCATAGCCCAATTTTGACAGTTGTCAAATCTGGAAAAAACAAACAAACAAACAAAAAAACCCCTGGGAATCTGTTGCCTCACAGAGACACAAAGTAGACATCAAAATTGTATATCTCAGTTCCAGTTCCAAAATGGTGGCATAGAAGCAAGCTGGCTTTACTCCTTCACACAGAAAACCAAAAACAAATATACAGCACCAAAATTATTACCAGATATATTCCAGAACTCAAATATGAAAATGAAACAGTTTTCAGAGCCACAGAGAAGTGAAAAAAACTCCAGACAGATGACAAAAGAATCAGATTTCCCCATCTGTAATGTCCCTCCCTGCCCCATTCTGCCTGGTACCAGGTGTGTGGAAAATTTTACCCCAACTCATGGTTTCTACACTGGGAAATGTAAGATCAATGCGGGCAACCAGTTTCTGCACAATCTTGGGTTCCCTGTCCCTGCCTTAACCCACAAGAAGCATTGTGAGTGCCCGAAGGGAGAAATTTCCCTGAGGACAGTCAAAGAGTGGGGAGGCAGGACTACCATCTCCTTCCCTGGAAACTCTGCTGTGTAACTCAGCCAAGGGAGACATGAAATCAGACTGGTGTTTCAGCAGCTCCATGTTGTAGTAGGTTTGTTTCACAGGTATCCTGGGCATGGACATCTAGCCAGCTTTCCCACACTGCCAGGATATCCCCTTTGGGACCTCCCTCAGTTAGGAAGGGCACACTCTGATCATTTACTAGGGCCAAGGTAAACCCTAAAGGTAACTTAGAGATGAAAAGGAGGTAGTGACCTAGCAGTAAAGAACTCTAAGAAAATCTATCCAATAAAAATCAAAACAAGCCAGACAAAGACTAAAATAAATAATGAATCCTTCAATGTAAAGACCTGGACTTACATCCACAAGAAACAGTAAGCAGGTAACCATGATCTCCCCACATGGACAAAGTGAGGAACAAGTGACTGATCCTGATGAGATGGTGATGTGTGAGCTCTCTAATCAAGAATTCAAAACTGCAGTTTTAAGGAAACTCAATGATCTTCAAGAAAACATGGAAAAGCAGTTCAGAAATTTATCAGAGAAATTTAACGAAGGGATTGAAATAATTTAAAGAAAACAAACAGGAATCTTGGAATTGAGAAATATATTTGCTGAACAGGAAAATTTATTAGAGTCTCTCAACAGCAGAATGGATCAGAGGAAAGAATCAACCCAAATAAGACTCCCCCAAGGCATAAAATAATCGAATTCTCAAAAGTCAAGGGCAAAGAGAAGATTTTAAAACAGAAAGAGAAAAGAAGCAAATGGCATAAAGAAGCTCCAATTCTGTGGCAAGAGATTTTCAGTGGAAATCATACAGACCAGGAGGGAGTGACATGACATTTTCAAAATGCTGAAAAAATATTGACATTTGAGAATACTTTATCCAGTGAAGTTATCCTTCAATATAAAGGAGAGAGAAAGTTTCCTAGACAAACAAAAGCTGAGATAATTCACACCATCAGACTAGTCTTCCTGTAAATACTAAAGGGTAAATACTAAATACTTCAATGTGAAAGTAAAAAAAAAACACTAACATGCAAAATAACCACAACAACAATAACAACATTTGAAGGTATAAAATCCACTGGTGAAATTAAGTACGTAGACAAACCCAGAATACTCAAATAGTAATTGTGGAAAGTAATCCAATCATAACTCTAGCATGAGTCTCAAAATATAAATCTATCAAAAACAATAATACATTTTAGGAGGCCAAGGTTGGCAGATTCCTTGAGGTCAAGAGTTCAAGACCAGCCTGGTCAAAATGGTGAAACCCCATCTCTACCAAAAAATACAAAAATTTGCAGGGTATGGTAGCACATGCCTGTCGTTTCAGCTATTTGGGAGGCTGAGGCAGGAGAATTGCTTGAACCCAGGAGGTGGAGGTTGCAGTGAGCTGAGATTGCACTACTGCACTCCAGCCTGGGTGACAGAGGGAGACTCTGTCTTAAAAAAAAATAGCTACCTGTTTGGAGAAAGGTAATATAAAATATGTAAATAGAGACAAAGTCAAAATTTGCAAAGGATGAAATTAAAGAGTAGAGTTTTTTTGGGGGGTTTTCTGTTTCTATTATTTTATTTGTGATCTAAGATAAGTTGTTACCTTTTCTTCTCTTGAAGATACTTTGTTATATCTATGTTTTTGGAAGTCTTATGGTAACTGCAACGCAAAAAATCTATGATAGATCCACTGAAAATAAAAAACAATGACTTAAAACATACTACCAGAGACAATCAACCACAAGGAAGACAGTAAAAAATGAAGAAAGGAAGAGGGGAGTTACAAAACAACCAGAAAACAGGCAACAAAGTGGCAGTAGTAAGTTCTTACTTAAAAATATTGAACACTGAATATAAATGGACTCTATTCTCCAATTAAAAGGCATAGAGTGGCTGAATGCTGCCTATATGCTGCCTACAAGAAACCACTTCATGTAAAAAGATACAAATAGACTGAAAGTGAAGGGGGTGGAAAAAGATATTTCATGCAAGTGGAAACCAAAAGAGAGCAGGAGTAGCTATACTGATATAAGATAAACTACAAATCAAAGACTATAAAAAGAGACAAAGAAAGTCACTATGTAATGATAAAGCGCTCAGTTCAGCAAGAGGAGATGCCAATTATAAATATCTATGCATCCAACACTTGAGCTCCCAAGTCTCCCAAGTATTTAAAGCAAACAATAGTGGATCTAAAAGGAGAGATAGACTGAATACAATATTAATTAGGGGACTTTAACACCCTGCTCTCAGCAATGGCCAGATCTTTCAGACAGAAAATCAACAAGGAAACTTCAAAGTTAAACTACACACTAGATCAAATAGGCCTAACTGGCATTTACGGGACATTTCACTAACTATCTAACTGTTACAGAATTCACATTATTTTCATCAGCACATAGAACATTCTTCAGAACAGACCACATCTTAAGTCCCAAAACCAGTCAGAATAAATTCAAAAAAGTTTATATCACATCAAGCATTTGTTCTGACCACAATGGAATAAAACTACAATAAATGAATAACTTTCTGGACACATACAACCTACCAAGATGGAAGCATGAAAAGGCAGAAAAACCCAACAAACCAACATGAAACTGTAACAAAAGGAAAACCCAGGACCGAATGACTTCACTGCTGAATTCTACCAAACATTTAATAAGAACTAAAACCAATTCTACTCAAAATGCTTTAAAAAATTGAAGAGGATGGAACACTTTCAAACTCATTCTACAAGGTCAGCATTATCCTGATACCAAAACCAGACAAGGACAGGACAAAAACAAACAAACAAACAAACAAACAAACAAAAAAACACTACAGGATTGCTTGAGGCCAGGAGTTTGAGATCAGCCTGGGCAACATAGTCAGAACCAATCTCTTAAAAAAAAAAAAAAAGAAAAAAATTAGCCAGGCATGGTGGCATGTGCCTTTAGTCCTAGCTACTCGGGAGGCTGAGGTGAGAGGACCAATTGAGCCCAGGAGGTTGAGGCCGCAGTGAGCCATGTTTGTGTCACTGTACTCCAGCCTGGGGAACAGAGCAAGATGCTCTCTCAAAAACAAAAAGCAAGCTGGGTGTGGTGGCTCCTGCCTGTAATCACAGCACTTTGGAAGGCTGAGGTGGGAGAACTGCTTAAGCCCAGGAGTTCAAGACCAGTCTGGACAACATAGGGGGACTCCATCTCTCAAAAACAACCAACCAAAACAAAGCCAAAAAAGAACATAGGCCAACATCACTAACAAACATAGATGTAAAAGTCCTCAATAAAATATTAACAAACCATGTTTAGCAACACATCAAAAGAGATCATTCACTATGATTAAGTGAGATTCATCCCAGGGATGCCAGTATGGCTCAACATATGCAAATCAATAAATGTGATCCATCACATTAAAGAGAACCAAGAACAAAAACCATATAATCACTCCAGCAGGTGCAGAAAAGGCATTTAATAAAAGAATGGGTTGAGGGAGTGGAGCCCATAGTCAGAGCAGCAGTGGTCTGGGATTTTGGAAGTAGAAAGAAGGGCAGCACCACTGGCCAGGACCACCAGGGAACACCCCCATAGGCCCTGGGTGTTGTGCTCCAGGGAGGGTTCCCTCTGGAGTTATTAATCTTGGTGTCCACTTTGCCCAGCTGCCCCTCACAGGGTCAGGGAGGATGAAGGGAAAGCTTCCTTCTAATGAAAGTTCAGGGACTCACAGTTCCTAGAGCCTGTAGGGAGAGGAAGATCTTCGAGGAAGAGCACCTGGGCATTGGGGCGTTTGAGAGGAAGATCTATGCCAGGTCCAAGTGGACAACCTGTGGACTCTCTCTCCAGGGACATACGGGTATCTGGGAATCTCCTGTAGCTTAAAGAGGTAAAGACCTCTCCCTTTAGCCTGAGGACTGGAGGATGCTGGTTCAGGTGAATGAGTCCTGCAGGGGCTGGTACAGGCCTGGAGGGTGGTGGTGTCCAGGGCCTTGGGTTCACCCTTAGCATGATTCAGGCCGGGCGGTGTTTCACATGAGCAAGAGGGCCTGGGTTCATTGCTTCAGGACAATGGTGAAATCTCATGGTGGAAGAAATCTTGTCCTTGCCAGTGCCCAGCTTTCATTTGGTCTTGGCCCAGAGTGTCCTCCCTAGAGAAGACTCTTGTCCCTTCTTCACACTGCCCTTCAGGGATATGCCAGCCTTATGGGATAAGATGGGGTGGAGACTGTAGATGTGGGTGGGAATCTCTCCACAGAGTGCTCCTTCTCTCAGCGGTTGCACCTTGTCTCAGGGCTTCAGCTTGAAATCTGGGATCTCCAAGCCCTTCCCTCCCCAGTCCTGGCCAGGACCACATGGGCAGATGCATTGTGTGAAGTGCATTTCATTTGGGGTGTCCTCTCTGCATGGCACCCTCCCGTTGATTCTCTTTGCCCATGTCAGAGTGCAGGCACCATCCACACCTCCTGCTGGAGGAGGGACGGAGCTGTTGACTCCTGAGAGCTGATCATGTGTTCCCACCCTCACACACAATCATGGTCCATCCTCTGAGGGACATGTGTTGCCACCACTGTGGAGATGGTGCAACTGACAGTAACAAACAGTAAAATCTGGTACTGAATGGGACCTTAAGCCAACAATGACAATGTCATTCCAAGGTGTTTCATTTTTATTGATTCAATGCAAGTCACCTGATTTCATTGACTATTCACAATAGCTCGATAAAGTAAATGCATCATCACCACCACTTTAAAGAGGAAAAAGGTGCTTGGGCAGTTTGTGACTACTGTGGTGGCTGCTGCATTGCTCTCTGGTAAAGCCAAGTAGGTGGTGGGTGCGGCCTCTGGGCTGGGATGATCCACCCTCCTGGTGGTGGCAGGGGAGCCAAGCTGGAGCCATGGCCTGTGCAGTGGTAGCAGCTGAACTGACCGCTGCTGCAGGATTTGCAAGCTGTTACATTTTGCGAAGCCATGAAGCACATAAAACCTCAAGTAGAACAAGTGTTTCAAAGTCTACCAAAATCTGCCTTCAGAGATTATTACTACAGAGGTGGATATGAACCCAAAATGACAAAACGGGAAGCAGCATTAATACTAGATAATGAATGAACACTAGTAATAGTAGGGTAAGCCCTACTGCCAATAAAGAAAAAAATAAGAGATGCTCATTAACATGTTATGCTCTTAAATCACGCAGACAAAAGAGGGTCTCCTTATATAGTAGCCACAATCAATGAAGCTAAAGATTTACTGCAAGATCAAGCTAAAAACAGTAGGTGTATAATGAATTTTTAACTTCATATTAGTTTATGTATATGAATATCAAGTTTTTATAATAAAATGCCTCCAAACAAAGAATATTTGATTTAGGGTTTAATAACTTCTAAGAGGGGACTCAGATGTTTCCTGTTTCACAGTCAGTCTGAGAGGGTCATTTTTCCTGGAGCTGACCTGGGTGGAGGCCTCACACTGATACTCCCCAGCATCCTCTCTCCTGATGGGGTTTATGCTGAGCATACAGTGGCCCTGGGACAGCTCCATTCTCTCCATGAGTCACAGACGCTGGTCATGGAAGATCCACTGGATAAGGTTCCAGAGTCATCTGTGGGGCAGGTCAGGATCACAACATCCTTTTCTTCTGTGACTCTGGTGTTGCTGACTCAGATGGGGTCGGAGCCACTGACCCTGTGGACAATCAGTGGAGGTGCTCAACTGAAAGTGGGCTGAGGGCACGTCTTCTCCTCCATCCCTGGGTCCTTAAGGTATCTGTGGACCCCAGACCAACTGACACAGGAGCTAGAAAGAAATTATTTAGGAAGTTAGTGAGGGTAAGAGCGTCCTTGGCAAGGTTTCCCCTTTAACAAAAAGCAGCCCAAGATAATTCCTTTTCTAACAAAGAGCAGCCTGAAAAATTGAGCTACAGATGTAGATGAGCAAGATGGAAGCTTGCACAGGTGAATTCCAGTAGGTGTGCCAATAGAAAAGGGCTGCCTGGAAGCCAGGTATGTTCAACATGGAGACTCCATCCTCCCTTTTCTCCATTACCACATGTACAGTAAAAAACCAGGCAACATGGCACCGGCCAGGTAGACAATCCATCTGCATGACAAAAGATCAGAGTGGGGCAGCCAGCAAATGGCACAGCTGGTCTAAACAATCTTTCACCCCCTGTATAAATCAGACACTGCCTCCTGAAGCTCATCTATAAAACCTTCTGCATTTCACTATGGAAGTGGCAACCCATTTTCCCCAGGACCCCTCTCTCTGTGCAGAGAGCTCTTCTCTTTCTTTCCCCTATGAAACTTCCACTCTTAACTTCACTCTGGGTGCCTGCATCCTAGTTTTCCATGGCCATGGGACAATGAACCTCGAGTATTACCCCAGATGAATGATGCTGTTTCACAATCACTGGTTCAGCTCCCTTCTTCTTAGGGTTTCACAGCTCGGTGGGGAGAATACCACGCCTCAGTGGTCTGGGGAGTGAGGAACAAATGAAGAATTAATCAGATTTTACTTAGAACGCTATCACCTGCCTCAACCATCAGATCCATGTTGGGAATGTCCAGGCCTCCTCTCTTAGATCTATACCCACTTCACTGGACCTGAAATCCTGTGTTTCCCGATGTGTTGGTGTCACTCCTATGAGAGGATAAAGGAGAGAACTTTGCTTTCTCTCCCCACTCACACCCTGCACAAGACAGGGCCCAATATGAGACACACACTCGCTCAGTAGTTCTCTCATGAAGGAGGGAGGGAGTGACCTCGAGTGACTCTGCCATCTGTAGTCTGTGTACCCTGGCCAGTGGCTGTATCTTCATATGCCTCAGTTTCCCCTCAGTAAAATAGGACACACAATGAGAACTAAAAATAAAATTCTAATTCCCCAGTGAACTGAAAGGATGGCCTCTTGGCCAAGCGGATCCCAGAGTTCCTGATCATGACAGGATGGGAGGTTACACCTCATTACAGCCCCTCCCTTTGGAAGTTTAGAGGTGACAACTGACTAGCATTAACGCTAAAATCGAGATCATGAGACTGACAGAACAGACTCTCTGTGGCCATAAGATACCAAATTATAAACTCAACCTAAGGTCATGCAGGCAAGGGCTAAGCCACACTTTCCTACATTTAAAGAATAAGCTATGTTCTAACACAGAATTTTCTTTCTCTCTAGCGGCTAAAGTAACACTAGCCTTCGAGATAAGCAATATTGAAATGATCGCGGCTCATCCACCAACACTGGCTAACTGACCCCTGTTCCAACAGCCACAACTACACTTCAATTGGACAGGAGACTGATTTCAGTAACTTTCTCCTAATAAGAGACCACTGAGCATGGCCTGGTTCTGCTGGTATACAGACACGGTGCACTGAGTACCATAATGCTTGTTTCATCTTTTGATGTATAAGACCTAACTTAATACATTTAAATCTGAATTCTCCACCCCAAAGTGAACATGGGGTGCATGTAGCATGCATGTTTGTTGATCACGCATGTGCGTGTACTTCCTTTGTGAGTATCCATAGCTCCACCTATAACCTGTTGAATATGTATACCTGGCCAACTCATTCAGCATAAATCTATCTTCCACATTCCCCTCCCTTGAAGTGCCTGCTATTGGTCTCTGCTGGAGGCTGCATCTTCTACCCTGGGGAATGGCCAGCCTGCAGGCTGTAACCCTGTGTAAGAAATAACCTGGTTGGGTGCAGTGGCTCACACCTGTAATCCCAGTGGTTTGGGAGGTTGAAGTGGTAGAATAGTTTGAGCTCAGGAGCCAGAGACTAGCCTGGGCAGCATAGCAAGATCCTGTCTCTTAAAAAAATTTTAGGGAGGAGAGTGAGGATCAGAAAAAATACCTATTGGCTATTATGCTTAGTACTTGGATCATGAAATAATCTGTATACCAAACCCCTGATTACATATATAACAAACCTGCATGCGTATCTTTGAACCTAAGATAAAAGTTTGTTTTAAAAACTATCTGGGTGCAGTGGTGCATGCCTATAGTTCCAGCTACTCGAGACTGAGGTGTGAGGAGTGCTTGAGCTCGGGGGATTGAGGCTGCAGTGAATTATGGTCCCACCTGTGAGTAGCCACTTCACTCAAACCTGGGAGACAGAGCAAGAACCGGTCTCTAAAAAAAAATAAAAATAGAAAAATAAAATGAAAAATATATGAAATAAAGTCTCCTTTCCAAACGTACAGATCTCCGATTTTTCTGCCAACAATGATAAATGGTCAGTGGCTTGCCATGTTGTCTGTGAATTACTTTTAAAATATTCACGATCACCTGACCTAAAGGTTGGTACCAAGGAACCGCCTGAATACACCGTCTCTGATTATTTGCCTCCAACAGAGTGTTCCCTGGGCCTGATCTCTGGTGGACAATGAGCTGCTGGGAACATCCTCTCTTCTCTATTCCTCCCCTGGGGATGCTGACCTTCCCTTGGAGTCTCCTAAGTTCCCCAGGGCAGTCGGCTAATGTCCTAGGGAGCTTACCTGTCTTCTCCATACCAAGTCTCATGTGAAGGACGAGGCTTTGCCCTTGCCCAGATGAGGCTCTGGGGGCTGAGCCCTGGCTGGCTACCAGCTGCAAGAGCCATGGCCCTTGGACAGCTGGTAAATCCTTGTTCCCAGTCAGCCCTGCCCAAGATGCCTCAACCCAGCCCCGGCACAGGCTTCCCAGGGTCACATGGAGTCAGGATCCTGGGACAGGGGACTGGACAGGGGTTTCCAGGGCTGAGTTTCTGAACAGGGGCTTCCCAGGGGTCCCCTCACTCCAGGATCTGACATGGTCCTACAAGGAACGTCCATGGGGAGGGGACCCAGGAGGGGGAACTGACACTGACCTCCCCTTACTGAGCCTCCCCCCAACCCCATCAGACTGTCCTTCCTCTGTAGCAAGTGCCTGCAGGGTCTGGATGCAGGAAAGAAATTCTGATCTGTGGAAGTTTGTCTCCCCTGTGTGTGTCTTGCACTAAATGTCCAAACCCCCAAATGGGATGTAATGTAGAGGGGGACACAGGCACAGCCCAGGCCTGAAAATCCTGTGTGTGTGAAGCAGAACTGACCCCCAACACCCAGAGCTCATGAGACATCACTGTGTACGTGAAACTGGCCAGTTACTTCTTCATTCACAAGATCTGTTTTTATGACTTGTAGGGTGTAGGATCCTGTGTCATTGTTGGTGACATTCTGTATCAGCAGACATGTATTGGGGTATATTGTCTCTCAGCCTCTGTGGCAGGTCCTGGGGTAATTACTTGAGTTCCTAGTACATATCCTGTAATTCCCCTTTGTACCAGTTGTAGCCAAGCCTAAGGCAGATTGTGGGTGAGTGGAAGAATCTCCTTGCCTTCTGCAGCTTCAACAGTGACTTGGGCAGTGGTAGGCAAGTTCCAGAAAGTTAAAAGTGAGGCTAGGAGTGGGGAGAGAGCATCAGTTAATACTGGGCCCTATGCATTGAGGTGGAAAGATGGGGCCCTAGGTCCTGGACAGGTCTCTTCATCCCTCAGCCTTGGAGTGTGTGTGTGTGTGTGTGTGTGTGTGTGTGTGTGTGTGTGCGCGCGCGCGCGCGCGTGCGTGTCCTACTGGGCCAAGGTCAGCAGCATGACCTCCCTTCCTTCAGTGCCTCTGACCTTGGCATTTCCCTGTTTGGAGTCCTTTTCCCCAGGGGTCTGCCTGGCTCCCTCCCTACTGCCTTCAGGTCCTGCTCACATTAGGGCATCCTTGGGAGACCCCTTCCCTGACACCTCTAGAGACCCTGGGTCTTCCCTTTCTGACATTTCGCTGCTGTGTTCCCTCCAGGGCTCTTGTCAATACTTGACCTCACATTCTAGATACCCTTGCATGTCTGTCTTCCTCCCTATGAGAGCATGAGCTCTGTGAGAACAGGGACTTGTGTGATCTTGGTTGCACCCCAGTGCCTGGGACAGGCTGCGGACTCCTGTGGATGAGCTCATGAGTGTTCCCAGGGCCCTTCACAACGTGGGATTTATTTTCCAATGGCTGAGGTTGTTGGCTAAGAGCTCTGTTGGAGTTCAATCAGGCTGGTGGGAAAAATATTAGAGATAGTTATAGAGATAGACACAAATCTTCTTGGAAGACCAAAAACTTTGCATAACTTTGGTAATAGATCTGACTGAAGGTGGTCCCTTTACCTTTAGTTAAACAAATTAAAGTAGTAACAAAGGAAGGCAGAGTAGTTTGTCTAGCCAGCTTGTTTACTCATGTGATCTTAAGACTAACCATTGATGTGCCACAGGTGCTTAATTGCTTTCTACTTGGGAAGTCCACAATGTCAATTACCCTCTAACGGTGTTGACTCAAGCCTTTGTTAATTAATCTTACTGAATAAATATGAGTCTCACTAGCTGATCAAGGCCATGGTCACAACTGTTTATAGGACTCAGCAGGGAGTCTGTAAGCGGCCCTGACAGACTCAGCTGGACTGGCAAAGCAAAATATGTGTGTGTCAGTGTACACTATTCACCCGTCCCCCACAGCTGGTGCCCCTATATGAGGAGTGCTGCCACAGAGCTCTGTTTAGTGTCCCTTGTTTTTTTTCTTGAGTATTACCCCAACTTAAATTGTGATTATTGTCATCTGTTTTCAACATTAACTGCTCAGTGATGATTCACTTGGAAAACATTAACAATCGAGATTGTTTCTTCACTAACAACCTCAGATTATTTAGATTTTCCTGTTGTAATCCCTTCTTCCTGTTTAGTGTCCAACAGAAGCCCTCTGTCCCTCTCAGGTCCCCGTTCTCTCCAAGAAACCCCAGCCAGTCTCTGTGCTCCCTCCTCCCATCCACTCCCAGGGAGCCCTCCCCTCACCTGTGAGCAGAAGCGCCTGCCAGGGATGTGCACTCTGTGAGGAGGGGCTGAGGGAGGCCCCATGGGCTCTGCTGTCTGCTTTGTCCTCCTCTGTGGAGAGGAGCTTGGGCTTCAGAAAATAAGGAGGCCAGAAAGTAAGGAACAGGCTGAGAAATAATGGGGATGTGTCGAAAGGTCACAGATGCCAACATCTTTGTCCTATGCAATATTATCCATAAAATTACAGGTTTGAGATATGCTTAAATTTTCTTCTAACATGCATTAAAATAAACATATAACTTTTAATAGTTATATTAAATTGTATTTAATATAAATTAAATGCTCTTGTCAGAGCTACTGTGACTGTCAGCTCTGCTGTCCTTCCTCTCTCTGTGCTAAGCCTCCTCCCAGGGCAGAAGCACTTCCCAGGGCCAGGGGTGGGGGCGGGGAAAGGTAAGTGGCAATGAGGATCTGCACAGGTAGCCTTTCCGCCTCCTCCCCTCTCAGTCCTGCCTCCTTGTCTTCTTTTCCTCTTTTTCTCCAATCTACATTTCAGTTCCTTAGACCACGCTGTGAGAAGCAAGGCTTATTGGGACCCCCATCCCTTAACAGGATGACCTGTGCTCCCCATAAGTGACCTCTGCTGTGTCTAGGGATTGGCTCTGTCAGCACCTCACAGAGAGTCCCTGGGACCCCCAAACTCAGTGTTATTTTCTCTATGACACAGAAACCCCTCTGGGTATGCAAGGTTTTCCTCATGTTTTCTAATGTCTGGGAAGGTTGGATTTACTCCCAGCAGGGAGGTCACAGAGATGTCCAGGGAGTGGGGTCCTAGAAATGGACAAATCTAGAGCTAAAGCCCAGGTCTACGATTTTCAGTTGTTTTTTTCTGCAGTGCTATGTGACCCTAATTTCCTAGGAGTAACTAAAATGCAAACCTCAGACATTTGTAGACATTTTATGATTTTTCTCTACAGCTTGTACCACTGTTATTATTATTTGCTTTATGCTTTTTCCTAAATAAATTTACTTTACAAAACATCCTTGTCCTAGTAGGGTGCAGGGGCTCACGTCTGTGATCTCAGCTGCTTGAGAGGTTGAGGTGGGTGGATTGCTTGAGGACGGGAATTTGAGACAAAACATCTTTGTCCTATGCAATATTATCCATAAAATTACAGGTTTGAGATATGCTTAAATTTTCTTCTAACATGTATTAAAATAAACATATAACTTTTAATCATCATATTAAATTGTATTTAATATAAATTTATATACAATACATTTTTATATAATAAATTATATATATAAATGTATATATAATAGTTTTTCTTTTTTGAGATGGAGTCTGGCTCTGTCTCCCAGGCTGGAGTGCAGTGGCACGATCTCAGCTCACTGCAGCCTCCGCCTTCTGGGTTCAAACGATTCTCCTACCTCAGCCTCCCGAGTAGCTGGGATTACAGGCGCCTGCCGCCACGCCCAGCTAATTTTTGTACTTTTTTAGTAGAGATGGGGTTTCGCCATGTTGGCCAGGCTGGTCTCAAACACCTGACTTCAGGTGATATGCTGCCTCGGCCTCCCAAAGTGCTGGGATTACAGGCATGAGCCACCATGCCTGGCCTATATATTTTATATAATTATATAAAGTTTTCTATAATAAATTTTATATAATAATATATAAAATGGATATTTATTTAAGATAAAGTTATTAGTTTTATATATTTACATATATTTAGGAATAAATGTGTTACTGTGGGAGCCCAGTGCCCAGGCAGGTAGTCAGTACATGATGGTTGTCATTAGGGTTAATACTTTGGAATTCTGGATTTTTTCCCAAGAGAGTGTCTACGCTGGAATATTGGGCTTGTGGCTTTCTGCTGATGTGCATGTGTGAAGAAGCTACTTCCACTTATTAGGACTTGTGTATCTGTCTCGCAGTTTCACTACCTATTTTCTCGTGATGTTGGTCAAGTCGCCTAACTTTTCTGTGCCTCATTTACCTAATTTGTAGAATATGGGTAACAGTACACAAGTGTGAGTGTGTATTTCCCAGGACTGACCACTAGAGGGCGTGAAGGCACCGGCACTTACTATTACAGCAATGGGTGTAGTAGTGCTCGTGGTCGTAAACATCATTCTCCCATGAAAGGAACCAGGGCTTCCTGGGAGAAATAACTGATTCCAGGGCTGGGGCCGGAAAGCACAAGCGGAGCCTGGAGCATCTCGTGAGGCCAGAAAGTAAGGAGCCGGCTGAAAAATAATGGAGATCTGTCGAAAGGTCACAGATGCCAACCAGAAGGAGCTTTGAATGACCAATTTTGAGACAAAATGAGCACTATAAGAAATAATGATAGTAATAAATTCCAACCCATAAATACCCATGAGTTCCTACTAATATAAATAAATAATTGAATACATAAATATATAAGGATGAAGAAACAGCTTTTTCTTACAGCAGGATTCCAATTAATGAATGTAGAAGGAATGATCAAATAGAAAATCACTATTTGGCTAACAGCACAGTCAATTGTTTGTAGGCAAGAATTATCAATGGACTTTAAATATGAATGGGTAAAAGTATGATGATGCTACAACTAGTGAGTACCAAGGGGGAAAAAAAAGTATGTTGAGAAGAAACAGGCTACTTCCATATTCCCAAAGTATCACTTCAGGAGATACTTATTGATTATAATGGGACAAATAGTAACTTACAGTAGAGAAACCTGGCAACAGAGTCTCTCCGAGGTACAAAGGCTCTCTTCAGGAAGGAGGTAAGGGGAAGGAAGAAGAAAACACTGTCCTGCCTCAATTATTTGCTTTCCCCATTCTCAAGTGTACTTCATAGACATTCAAAGATATGTGTTGATAGTGTCCACGATCCACATGGCTCTATTATAGTCATTTATTCACACATACATTCAGTGAGGCTTTGAGTGCCTAATGTGTGCCTGATATTTGCTAGATGGTGGATGCTGAGAAGATCAGGTGTGCTGCTGTCTCTAGGGTGACTGAATCCACCTGCCCCACTTTACAGATGTGGAAATTAAAGTGAAAAGGATTTATAGGATTAGTTCACTGTCACAAGGTCACTAGCCTTAAAGTTACAGGAGTAAAGCAAGTTTCCTGACTTGCTAGATTTTCTGCTGCAGGTGCTGACAATGGTGAGCTCCAATAGGAGAGAGGACACTCAGAGTGAAGTGGGAGCCCTGAACACCCTGGATTAGCCAAGAGGACATGCCGGGTCCAGCTGTGACCGCACAAAGGACCATTGGGGATATTTGTATTCTCTTTTTCACTTAGAGCTTGAAATGAGGAAAACTAAGTGCAGAAAACCAAGAGTGGAAGATTTTTCACAAAGCACTGGTAACATGCATCAGAAAACCCTGTGCTGATGTCTGTCACGGTGTTTCTCACTGAACGGTAATAGTCTGGCTTTGAGTGTGTTCCCTCTACAGCCTGGAGTTCTGCGAGGCAGGGACCAGGTGTGATTCATCTTTGTCTCTCCAGTGACAGTACACAGCAGGCTCTGATAAATATTTCTTACAAAATAAAATGGAATAAAAAGTAGACATCTGCACAGGTGTGGGATGACTGAGCAGCAGCAGAAGCAGGAAAAGTCAGCGTCCCCAGATCAGCTGATGTGGTGTTCGGATTCTAGATAGGGGTGAGGTGCCAGGATGGGGATGGGGGTCCTGTGGCTCTGCTGCCCTGGGGGACACCCCTAGGTTTCACAGTGCCTGCTGTGGTTGCTGCACTTTGCTTCCCCATGGGAAAGTGATCAGAGGGTGTGGGGCTTCAGGTGACCCCATGTGGGAAATGGCCAAGGGAAGGTGGGGTGGGCGGCACATGGTTTTTTTTAACCAATATTTGAAGGTAGGTTGTATGAAAAGGTGTTAGGCTTATTTCAGCTTATGGGGAGTAGGACAGGGATTGGTGAGTGTGTATCAGGTATATTTTGGCTCAGGATGGAAAAGAACTGTCACAGTAACATAAGGTCTTTTGGGAAATTACATGTTTACTGGCAGAGTTCAGGCCAGGGCTGGGTGTCTGAAAATACCTGTCAGGGTCACTTTTATGGTTACAAGGGCAGAGCTTGGCTTGGAACCAGGTTTCTTACTAATACCACATATTAAGTATTATAAAAACTGTCCTTTGCAATAGGACATTGCTCTATGATGCAGGTTGAGGTCCCTCTGTTTAAGTAATTGTGGGTGGCTGTGATTCTCTCATCTAGTCTGCGACTTGGACTTCACCTCCATCTGCAGTCCCTCTCCTTTGCTGTTGACACTGGTCAGAGTTAAGCGCATTTACTGACGATGGTCACAGGGTGGCAGCACTGCCTCTCTGGTATTTTCTAAAACCTCTTCCTGGAACTGAGCCAGTCTAAGAGGATGTCATGACTAAGAAAAGGGCACTAATGAGGTGAACAGATAATTTTTTTTTTCTTGTTTCTCCTGTGAAGTAACAGAGTGGAGGTGAGCATGGAATAATTGCCTTTTAGAAATGGAAGACAATGGAGAGAAGTGTTTCGCAAACCTTAATGTGTTCACAGATCCCACACAGATCTTTTTATTCAATACAGATTCTGATTTTTCTGGTGAGGCCTGAGATTGTGCATGTCTAAGGAGCTTTTGGATGATGCCATTGCTGCTGGTTGGCGGACCACACTTTGAGTAGCAAGGCTCGAAGATCATTTAGAGGTTAATTCTCACTGCATCTAATTTATGGATGAAAACAAACCAAGGTCCAGAGAGAGCATATACAGCTTGCCTAACAAAGCCATTCCCTAAGTGCCTGACTTCTTGCATTTAAACCCAGGGCTTCAGCCTTTGTCCAGTTCTCACTCCACACATCACACGGTTTGTTCACTGTTGTGAACGACAGTTGTGGCAGCATCTCTTTAGTTTAGGAATCCAGAGCCCCAATTTCACTACCCTCTTTGGTCTTGGCTCATGCTGTGACTTCGAATAGTTTTGCCCTTACTTAAAATCTTCAGTGGCTCTTTTGTAATCACAAGATCAAGTTCGAATATCTCTGTCTAGTGTTCATGGCTTTATAACATATGGTATCTCTTTAGTAACCTTACCTAACTTCCCTGTTTTAAAATTGTCTCTTGCTGCCATAGCCCTCCTTGCTCCTTCCTGCTCCCTAACAAACTGTGTTCACTTCTCTCTCAGTGGTAGTGATGATGGCATGGCCTCTGATGTTAGACTCATGTAACTTCTAATCCCAGATCCACCACCAACATTGGCAAGTTGATTCATCTTTCTGAGGATAAGCATCCTCCTCTGAAATAAACTTAGATGGCGGTTGAGAGGGGTAAATAAAATAACACACAAACCCACTCTCATCCCTGAGACCCTCTTCAAAACTAGCATATAAAAATAGCTATTTGAAGAGGTTCAGTGAAATTCAAGGTAACACAGAGAAGGAATTCAGAATCCTATCAGATAAATTTAATAGACTGAAATAATTTTTAAAAATCAGGCAGAAATTCTGTAGCTGAAAAATTCAATTGACAAACCGAAGAATGCACTAAATCTTTCAACAGCAGAATTGATCAAGCAGAAGAAAGAATTTGTGAGCTTGAAGAGATAATATATGAAAACTCAGAGTCAGAGAGACAAAAGAAAAAAGAATTAAAAGAATAATGCATGCCTACAAGGTTTGATTATTAAGCTACTCAAAGAGATACAAGAGAAGGGTGAAAACCAACATAAAGAAATGTAAAAAACAATCAGAATATAAATGAAAAATTTTCTAAAATGCTAGCTAGTTTTTTTTTGAGACAGGCTCTTACTCTCATCACCCATGCTGGAGTGAAGTGGCACAGTCATGGCTCACTGCAGCCTCAACTTCCTGGGCTCAGATGATTCTCCCACATTAGCCTTCCAAGTAGCTAGGACTAAAGGCGTGTGCCACCAGGCCAGGCTAATTTTTTGTATTTTTAGTAGAGATGGGGTTTTGCCATCTTACCCAGGGCTGGTCTTGAACTCCTGGGCTCAAGTGATCCAGGAGATTCACTGCCAAAAAGGATATAACCAAGTCATATAGTCATAGGTTATCTAAAGTCAATGTGAAGGCAAGAATTCTAAGAGCAGTGAGACAAAAGCATCAATTAACTTATAAAGGAAAACCTATCAGTCTAACACCAGATTTCTCATCAGAAACCTTACAAACCAGAAGGTATTGGGGTCCTAATCTTTTGGCTTCTTAAACAGAATAGCTCTCAGCCAAGAATCTTGTGTAGAGTGAAATTATATTTCAAAATGAAAGAGAGAAATACAGTCTTTTTCAGGCAAGCAAATGCTTCAGGATTTGTCACGGCTAGACCATCCTACATGGAATGTTAAAGGGACTTCTAAATCACAAAACAAAAGATTTAAATAGAACAGAATAGAACCTCTTGAAACCAAAAAATTCAAATGGCCTATAAAACAATAACACAATAAGAAAACAAAGTAGATAACGATCAACATGATGACTGGAACAAATATTAACATTGAATGTAAATGACCTAACACTCCACTTAAAAGACACAGATTGGCAAGATAAATAAAAAATCACAAACCAAATATCAGCTGTCTTCAAGAGACTCACTTAACATGTAAGGATTCTTATAGACTCAAGGTAAAGAGATGATAAAAGATATTCCATGCAAATGGAAACCATAAGTGAGAAGGAATAGCTATCCTTATATCATATAAAACAGACTTTAAGCAACAACAGTAAGAAAAAGACAAATAAGGCAACTATATAATGATAAAAGGATCAATCAAACAAGAAGATATTACAATCCTAAATATATATGCACCTAACTTTGGAGCTCCCACATTCATAAAACGGTTATGATGAGACCTAAGAAAAAAGATCAACACAAAACAGTGAGGGTGTCCTGGGTTTTCTTTTTATTGGACAGCAGTGTACTAGCCTATCACTTTCCCAGTCAGGGGATTTTTGGTCTCCCCATTCCCCTACCATGGGTTCATGCCAAAGTCCATATTTTTTATTAGTGTTTGGAATTGGATTTTTTTTTTTTGAGGTGGAGTCTCGCTCTGTTGCCCAGGCTGGAGTGTAGTGGCACGATCTCGGCTCACTAACCTCTGCCTCCTGGGTTCAAGCAATTCTTCTGCCTCAGCCTCCTGAGTACCTGGGACTACAGGTGCATGCCACCACACCCAGCTAATTTTTGTATTTTTAGTAGAAACGGGATTTCACCATATTGTCCAGGCTTGTATAGAACTCCTGACCTCATGTGACAGGGAAACAGGCACTCAGTGAACTTCATGCGATTGAGGAGTTAATGATAATGAGAGAAGGGCTGTGAGGGGACAGCACTGGGGACACCAGAGCCTGTGACGGGCTGAGTTGCTGTGCCTTGGGAGATGCCCTTTTGACTGAGCCCTGGGAAGGAGGGGGTGTGGGGGCAGGAGCTGCCTGCAGAGGGAGTGGCCTCAGGTGGGCGGCCACCTGGCTGCAGGGAAGAGGTGACAGAGTTCGTGTGCAGAGCTTGGAGGGTGAGGAGGAGGTGGGTTGAGGTGACCTTGGTGAGGGTGAACCATGGGGGGCTGTGGGCCCTGCTGAGGGAGGCCAGCCATCCCTGGACCTACAGGGTGGTTTGGTCTTTTTTGTCCCATTCCCAGCATCCACTGAGTGGTGAAACTCTGCAGGCCAGGGACCATCCCACTGGCCAGAAGGAGCGCACAGTAGGTGCCCACTCAGTGCATGTTGGGCTGGACAGAACCTCACTCTGCCCCCTGCCCCCAGCTTTGGGAGCTGCAGCAAGGTCCCTCCCCCTAGGGATCTCCATGCCTCTGTCTCTGAGGGGTGAGATGGGGAGACTTCAAAGGGCCATCTCAGAGTGTGGGGGATAGAGACGCAGAAGTGTGGGGGATAGAGGGAGGCCTGGGCTCTAGACCCAAAGGACCTTACACACCTCCTGAGTCTTTTCAAATGGTTTCTTCTGTTACTTTAAAAATGATGTAAGTCATCATATTTATTGTAAATCCCAGGAATCTAATCATGCGTAAAATAAGGTGTCTTATCCTTGACCCCACCCCTTCCCCAATTAAATTTCCAGGATGTTACCACTGTTTGCAGTTGGTGTGAATCTCTCTTTAATAATACTCTGTTTATCTCACTTGTCGTTTTACGCCAAAATACCCATTGAATTATATTATTGCTGAAGACCATTCTTTTTTTTTTTTTTTTTTTTGAGATGGATTCTTGCTCTGTTGCCCAGGCTGGAGTGCAATGGTGTGATCTCGGCTCACTGCAACCTCTGCCTCCTGGGTTCAAGTGATTCTCCTGCCTCAGCCTCCTGAGTTTCTGGGATTACAGGTGCACACCACCACACCTGGCTAATTTTTGTATTTTTAGTAAAGACAGGGTTTCACCATGTTGGTCAGGCTGGTCTCGAACTCCTGACCTCATGATCCACCCTCCTTGGCCTCCCAAAATGCTGGGATTACAGGCATGAGCCACCACACCTGCCCAGACCATTCTGTTCTACTGAATCATGTGTGGTGGGCACCTCTTATATCAATACATATGGATTTTATCTTGTGTTTGTTATTGGCTCCCCTTTTTCTCATTGCATGGCTACACTCAATGCTTTGTCCACACCCCTGTTCCTGGGTTGGAATCTTGTGACAGAAAATGAAGTAACAAAGGCTAAAGCTTTCTAAAGTGGAGTCAGGAGATTGCAAGACAATTGCACTTTCACCAGCAAGAGCTCAAACCACAGAATGTTCCAATAGATTTGGATAAACAGCTGAAGTCAGTATTCACCAGCCTTCAACATCTCAACTAGGAGAACCCTAAAATTAACTAAGCACATAGAATGGAATGGACTTGTGATTTAGGATTCCTTCTCAGCCAATGAGCTGCTTCTGAAAACAACTTTTTGTGGAAATTACCTGTAAAGAAAACCCTCTCCTGTGCTTGTCTTACAGAACACTAGTCAGGGCTGCCCTGATTCAGTGGACCCGAATTGCTATTATTTGTTTCCTAAACATATGGTATTTTCTGTGACCTTCATCTCAATCTTTTTTTTAAGTTACTGGGCTGTTTCCCAGTTTTCATAATGACGAGACATTCTGCAGTGTTTCATACACATGTCTTTTCCCCATGTGGAGTATTGATCCAGGAGCTCATTCAGTCAACGCATGTTTATGAAGCATCCTGTGCCAGGCTGTGGGCTGGTCACTGTCTTCAGCAGAGAGAGGACAGGCACAGTCTTGCCTTCACAGAGCTCACAGCTCAGGGAGGCTCTTAGAAGTGGGATACTGGTCGGAGCATGTGCACATTAAACATGATGAGGTCAAGGTTGCTATAGGGACTAAACCACAGTCCCACCAAGATCGCATTGAGTTCCTGTGGTAGACCAGAGGTCAGGGCCCCTAAGATGTCCTGAGCAGCTCCCTCTGCTCAGAAGTTTTGGTTCCACAGGTGACACACCTGAGCACAGGTGACCCCTGCAGAACCTGTGATTACCACCCAAAGCCAAGAGTGAGTGGTGGGTGTTCTAGGAGGAACCGTCACCTCCATGGGCAGGGTTGGGGAAGACTGAGGGGAGCAGGTGGCTGATGACTTTGGCCAGAAGGTAGGGGGATGGGCAGGTGTGCGCTCATAGGGAAGGGAAGAGAAGGGAGGGCATTGCAGGCAACAACACAAAGGTTGGAACCTGCCTTCATGGACTGAGAAAAGCAGGGAGTCCACCCAGGCTGCAGCTGGGGAGGGAAGACATGGGGAGCAGTGGATCTAGGGGAGAAGCAGACTGCGATTGACCTTGGGGACTGGGCAGTGAGCAGAGGTGTGTTATGTGTGTCTGTCCCCATCATAGATATGAGGAGGGGTGAGGCCGCGGGTGGCACCTGGGTCGGTGGGATTTCATAGTGCCTGCTGTTCCCTAGAGCCTCTCTGTATAGAGGGTCAGAATAGATCTGAGGCTGTGGTCTGGGGGAAGGGGCTGGTGGTGCTTACCATCTCTAGGGGTGGGAGGAGAGGGATGAGGATGCCCCTGAGCAGTGAAGCCTCAAGGTGTGTGGAGCCAGTTGTCTCTCATTAGACATGTGCTTTGCGTGAGGATGCCAGGGCCTGGTGGTTATTACTGTTGTCAAGTTTGCATGACAAGGACCCAGGTATCCAGGGATCCAGAGCACAGGGCCCCTGGTGAGGGGATGAGGCTCAGATGGGGCTGACCAGGTTCATGTGGTCAGAGTGGGAGGGACTGATGGAGAGACAGAGCCTCAACCCCTCCTGTCAGGAGCTGTGGCTATGTCCAGGAGAGATGACAAGGATGACCCAGGACATTGAGTGAGTCATTGAGACATTGAAGGTGAGGACAGGGCAGAGAGGACCCTGGTGACTGCTGAAATGTAGGATGTGAGGAGGGCTCTGACCCATGCAAGTTACAGGACCTCCCCACCCCCGAGCCCACAGATGACCCTTAAATTGGGCATCCTGAGTGCTGTGTGTGCCCAGCAGGGACACTGGATAGGCTGGACCTGAGTCTCTGTAAGGGCAGCGCTGGTCTGTAGGACCAGAGTCTTCTCTGTGGGTGTGACGTGGGCAGGAATTAGCAAGATGGGGGTGACAAGGCTTGGCTTGGAGGATCTGGTACAGAAGCCCATGGGCTTGGTCAGCTCAGCTTCTCAGGGGCTCAGCTGGGGCTGGAGGAGCAGGATGCTGTGCTCAGGGCATGCTCCAGGCAGCGTGATGTGTGTGGTTCCAGGGTCAGGCACGGGGGTCAAAAATTAACCATGAAAAGTTCCCACCTTCTGTAGGCAGAGAAAATGGCCTGATTGTCAGGGTCAGGGAGACTTACCATGTGGCCAAAGCAGGCTCTCAGCCTCCCAGAGACCACACCCTGGGTGCAGCACTCAGCTCTGCAGGGTATGGCAATAGATGTGCCAAGAACCCCAACATCCAGATGCATGCAAAAATTTTGCGATATATAAAATAGAGCAGATCAAGTTTCCCTGCAATAACGTTGTTCCTGGTTGTGTCTTTTTCTTGTAAACTAGACATGGACATCTTTCCAGCAGTCTGTTCTCATCTGCCACCTTCCTGCTGCAGCACCTCAGAATGAACATTCCTGAGACACTGTCCGTGGTGCTGACGACCAAGAGCTATGGAACAGAGTGTGATGTAGAATCTTCTAGTTACCTCTGCTCTCCTTTCACTTTTAACAACAGAGCATCATTAACAATGAGAAGGTGGAGAGGTGTTCAGGATCTTGAAGTGACTTCTGTCTTGCTCTCCCATAACCCTGAAGCTGCTGTAGACATTATTGCAGAAACTGACACCACAGTCAGGATGGCCTTGTCCAGGAGCCCATGTGCAGTTTGTAGTGAGCAAGGATGAGAAAATGGTCTTGAAAGGGGTGATGGACAGAACAGGGGCTTTTCAAAAATGTCACATCATCACCCCCAGCATCTGTGAATCTGTCACATGGTAAGAGACCTTACAGATTAAATGAAGGATTATGAGTTTGGAAGATTATTGTAGTTTATCCAGATGGGTCCAACATAATCACAGAATCCCTTCCTTACAAATGAGAGAGGGAGGTGGGAGAGTCAGAGAAGGAGGAGGAGATGTGGGGATAGATGCAGAAGACAGAGCGGTGTCAAGATGCTGCACTGCTGGCTTTGAAGATGGAGAAAGAGGACACAGCCAAGGATGCAGGAGGCCTCTAGGAGGTGGAAAAGGAGAGGAAACGCACTCTGCCCTGGAGCCTCCAGAAAGAACGCAGCCATGTGGGCACCTTGGTTCAAGTTTCTGTGTCACTTAGCTTGTGGGAATTTGTCACAGCCTCAACAGGAACCTACAGAGGAGTCACCTTGTGTGCAGGTGGGATCCAGGGTCATTTACAGCTAAATCCTGATGTAAATATTGCAGGTTGCTTTTCCTACTTCCTATCTCATGGCCAACAACCCTGGACAATGGCAGAACACCCTTGGAAACCACGGCTCTGTGCTTTAGTGGAGGGACCGGCTTGTTTGTGGGAAGGTAGCACCTGGTCCAAGTGAACCTACATGAGATCGTTACTCTCCCCAGGGCCCTCAGGGAAGGGCTGAGAACAGCTGGCCCAGGTGTGTGGAGGAGCTGCAGGTGAGGCAGGGCTGGAGGGGCCTGTGGGTCCAGGTAGAGGGGCAGACAGGTTGTCCCATCGCCATGGGAGCCTGCACGAGCTTTAGGTTGGGGAACCCTGCTCCTCTGACCTGGACGCTCCTGTGTGGAGAGGAGGCTTGCTCAGTGAGATCCACGCCAGGGGGTAAATTGGGAACTGATGGGAAATGAGGGGCTAGAGTCCTGGGTAGTGCCTGGGAGGACCTTGCTCAAGGACTGAATTCTTGGTCTGTTCCCACCTTGGTTACTCTGACAACCCCTCTCTGTGTCCCACGGGGATAAAGATCTCCTGAGCAGTGGCCATTGGGACAGAGGAGAACCTGGTGGCCAGAGCTAAGCATCCAGGATCCTGGATTTGGGGACAGGCAAGCTCATTGCTGGGGGACAGTGATAGATACGGCCTCCAGGGCCTGGGTGAAGAGAGCAGGAGGGCTCAGGACACTGGAGGCTGTGTGGAGGTCACACCCACGATCTGTACCACCCATGGATGCTCCTGCATTGCTCACCTTTGTGTGGACATCAGATGGCCCCAACTTTTGCACTCCTGAGACATCTCATGCATTCACAGAGGGACCCAGGCTGGGGCTGTGCATGGCCTTGGTCTCTAGGGTAGTGTGAGGACAGCTGAGCACTCAGCTGGCTGGGCAGGACTCCTGCGAATCCTGCCCTTTCCTGTGTAGGGTCCACCCCAGCCTGACTCCTAACCCCCTACTCCTGTCTTTCCAGGGAAGAGAGACTGGGGTTGAGATAAGGTGGAGATATTTTTCCTGTGTGACCCAGGAGAGAATGGACATGGAGTTTCAGGTGAGTTTCTGCTAAGTTCCCATGAGCAGAAAAAGAGCCAATGAGAGGAAGTTTCCCCTTTATTCAGATCCTTTCCAGGTGACCCCGGGTGGGCCATAGGCCCATTCACTTTCCCTGCAAGCCCCCACTTCCTGTGGTGATGGGAAGCCTTCGCCTTGGCCCACCCAGAGCCCGGGGCAGTCTGTTGAGGTCTCTATATATTCAGCAGGGACCCCCATCCCTTCCTGTCCCCAGGCCTGTGTCTCCTCAGGACTCAGAGCTGGTTCTCTGGCTCAGGCTCCATGTCCTTCCCCATCCCCAGGGCTGGGGGCTTCAGGGACGCTCCATCAACCCACAGGAGCAGCTCCCAGAGGAACCTAAGAAGCCACATCTGCTTTGTGGTCGATCCAGCAGTAAATGTTTGTGTCAGAGTGTAGCAATTCCTGTAAAAACAGAGAAGAGGTCTTGACCCCTGAGGCCTTCTCAGAACAGGGTCTGGCATCTCTCTCTGGGCCCACCCAGGGCTACTCTGGGACTGAACCTGGCTGTGCTCAGGGGGTTCCTGCTCCCAGGCCCCTCCCTCCTCTGCTCACCACCTCCTGTTATTTTCACTGCAGTTTCCTGAACTTCAGCTCAGCCAGATGCCAGTGGGGACAGATCCTGGGTCTCCCTGGGGCCCAAGGGACCAGAATATCTGTGGCCCCCACTCACCTCATAGATGAGAGCAGCTGCCCTGGTGCTGGGTAGGGGAATCTGGGCAGGGGAGAGAGGGGTGTCAGGGGACAGGGAAGGATTCCTGCTGTGTAGGAATTCCAGGGCTCTCCTCAGGTGATGGAGGGTCCCAGGGTGGGGTTAGCACAGGGAGTGGATGATCCTGGCCCTGAACAGAGGCCCAGCTCATGGCCAGGGCAGGTCTAACCTTATCCAAGTCATTCTGGGTAGGGTGGGTTTGTGCTGGGGATTGACAGTCCCCCTGCCCTGAGCCTGCACAGCTGGGGCCCCAGTGGAAATGGGATTGGGAACGGACAGTCTTACCTAGGAGATGGAGCTGTCAGAGGGTCCATGGCCTGGGGACAGAGACAAAAGTGAGCACGAGAGTGTTAGGATAGCTGGGCCCCTCCTGCAAGAGTGTGTGGGGGTCCTCAGTTCTTAGAGAATTGGGGAGAGGGAGCCTTTCTCAGGTTATTTTAGGGGTCAAGTAAGCAAGTGAGGTTGAGGAAGTGACCCATGACCCAGAGCCCGGAGGTTAGGGCTGACCCGGCCAGTTGGGGTTTCCTGTGTGATGTTTTATGGGATCCTCTTTGCAGCCCCAGGGATAGGGTCAGAGGCCCCTGGGTGTAACTGGCAGGAGTGGACAACTTGGGGCTGGCTTAGTAGTTCCCAGCCACACCCAGACTGAAGGGACACTCACCGGGGGTGGAGGCTGGGGGCTGCTGCTCCCTGAAGTCACTCTGATCGCTGGCCCTAGGAAAGGTCAGGGTTATTTGTGAAGGTGCAAGGTTAAAAGTCACAAATTGGAGTTAAAATAGGGGACCAGGAAAGGAGCCTATTTCCAAGAGGGGTATGGAGACCTCCTTTCTTTATGGAGTTCTGTGGTAGGAGGGGCCCAGGTGAGGGGAGTTGAGGAAAGGCCTTACAAAGCCACATCTGTCCTGGCCAGAGGGGAAGGACTCTCAGGCAGATGCTGGGCCAGGAGAACATTGATCCAGTGACACAGGAAAGGGACTGAGGACCCAGGGAAGGAATCAGACCACCAGGGGTTGCCTGAGAGGAAGGGTCAAGGCACCAGGGGGAAAGCAGGGCCAGGCACATGTGCAGGACACTGAGGGGACTGCATGCATCTTGGATTCTCCTGGAACTCAGTGTCCCTGCTGTGACCAGACACTCCACTCAGGGCTGGAGATGCTGAAATGGGACAATGATCTTGTCTTCTGTCTCTGCCCTTTGGCAAGAGACATAAACGACATTCCAGGATATGCCATATTGGGGCCCCGGTTCTCCCTTCTCACAGCTCAGTGTCTGCAGTTACCATGTCAGTCAAAGGGGTGCTGACCCCACCCAGCCCGTCCAGGCTGTTCCAGTCTCCACTATGTGATGATGCCCAGGATCCCCCCTCAGATGCCCTCTCACTGGGTGGATGGATTCAGTGAACAGGGGGAGGTACCAGGTATTGAGCACCGCTCCCCCCTGCTCCAGGCAGCTGTGGCTTTGCTGTGCTAGGAAACTAGGACCATGCTCAGGGGCATGGCCTTAATTGGACTGAATTCACTGAGGACAAAGCTGTTGAGGAAGCAGCCCAGGGTCAGCAGCTGGTGAGGAAGGTGCCATGGAATGAGAGGGAAGGATCCCTGGGGAGTCGGGAGGCTGGGGAGAGCCTGGCACTGAATACAAGACAGGGTCTCCTTCCTTCTCGCCTGGGGTCAGCGTGAAGGATGGGAGCAGAATGGGGAAAAGCTGTGGTACCTGCCAGTTTTTCGGAGGAGCAGGAAACACACAAGTGCAGCCACCAGAAGACTCCCAACCAGGACCCCGATCAGGATGCCTAGAGTGTTGTCATCTGCTGAAAGAAGAAGGCAAAGGGGATGAGGTCCAAATCTGTTCCAGGGGGAACCATGAGGGGCCTTGCAGGGCAGGGGCATGGTCAGGGAGGAAGGAAATGCCATGGAGCCTGAGTGTGGTCTGTTGTGCTGTCCTCATAGCTGGCTCCCTTGCTCTCCGTGGTTGCACCATTTTCTGTGTCTTAGGCTTGAATTACTGGGATGCATCAACTCCTACATTCTCCCACAGGAAGCCTGCACCTCATCCTGCTCCTGTGTTTTTTAGTCCCTCCTTCCTCTCACATCACTCCTCTTCCCCCTGTTTCTTTTTTTCCATCCCATGGCAGTCGTAAAGGGCAGGCCCTTGCTGCCAACTCAATGCTGATGAGCAGGGATGATGTTCATTGACTGTTTTCAGGGGCCTTCCACATGGAAGGCACAGTGGGAATCAATCTACCTGCAGCTTTTCTCACCCTCCCATTGCCTTGAGGGAGAAGGGTATGTGATATTGTGAAATACGTATTTGGTGTTCATCACCATTGATATGGTTAGGCTCTGTATCCCCACCCAAATCTCACCTTGAATTGTAATAATCCCCATGTGTTATGGGAGGGACCTTGTGGGAGGTAATTGAATCATGAGGGTGGGTTTTTTCCATCCTGTTCTTGTGATAGTGAATAAGTCTCAGGAGATCAGATGGTTTCATAAAGGGAAGCTTCCCTACACATGTCCTCTTGCCTGCTGCCATGTAAGACATGCCTTTCACCTTCCATCATGATTGTGAGACCTCTCCAGCCATGTGGAATTGTGAATCAATTAAACCTCTTTCTTCATACATTACCAAGTCTCAGGTATGTCTTCATTAGCAGTGTGAGAATGGACTAATACAGTAAATTGGTACCAGCTAGTGGAGTGCTGCTATAAAGATACCTGAAAATGTGGAAGTGACTTTGGAACTGGGTAACAGGCAGAGGTTGGAACAGTTTGGAGGGCTCAGAAGAAGACACAGGAAAAAAGTTTGAAACTTCCTAGAGACTTGTTGAATGGTTTTGATTAAAACGCTGATAGTGATATGGACAATAAAGTCCAAGCTGAGGTGGTCTCAGACAGAGATGAGGAACTTCTTGGGAACTGGAACAAAGGTGACTCTTGTTATACTCTAGAAAAGAGATTGGTGGTATTTTGCCCCTGCCCTAGAGATCTGCAGAACTTTGAACTTGAGGGAAATGATTTAGGGCAACTGGTGGAAAAAAAATTCTAAGCAGCAAAGTGTTCAAGATGTGACTTGGGTACTGTTAAAAACACTCAGTTTTATGTATTTACAAAGGTATGGTTTGGAATTGGAACTTATGTTTAAAAGGGAAGCAGAGCATAAAAGTTTGGAAAATTTGCAGCCTGATGATGCAATAGAAAAGAAAAATCCATTTTCTGAGGAGAAATTCAAGCCAGCTGCAGAAATGTGCATAAACAATGAAGAGCAAAATGTTAATCCCCAAGACAATGGCAAAAATGTCTCCAGGGCATGTCAGAGACCTTCCTGGAAGCCCCTTCCATCACAGGACTGGAGGCCTAGGAGGAAAAAATGTTTCCTGGGCCAGGCCCAGGGCTCCCCTGCTGTGTGCGGCCTAGAGACTTGGTGCCCTGCATCCCAGCCACTCCAGCCATGGCTAAAGAGGGCCAAGGTACAGCTGGGGCCATGGCTTCAGAGGGTGCAAGCCCCAAACCTTGGCAGCTTCCATGTGGTGTTGAGCCTGCAGGTGCACAGAAGTCAAGGATTGAGGTTTGGGAACCTTCGCCTAGATTTCAGAGGATGTATGAAAATGCTTGGATGTCCAGGTGGAAGTTTGCTGCAGAAGCAGAGCCCTCATGGAGAACCTCTGCTAGGGAAGTGTTGAAGGGAAATGTGGGGTTGGAACCCCGACACAGAGTCCCTACTGGGGCACTGCCTAATGGAGCTGTGAGAAGAAGACCACAATCCTCCAGACCCCAGAATGGTAGATCCACTAACAGCTTGCACCATGCACCTAGAAAAGCTGCAGACACTCAACGCCAGCCTATGAAAGCAGCCAGGAGTGGGGCTGTACCCTGCAAAGCCACAGGGGTGGAGCCCAAGGCTATGGGAGTTCAGCTCTTGCATCAGTGTGACCTGGATGTGAGACATGGATACAAAGGAGATCATTTCAGAGCATTAAGATTTGGCTGCCCTGCTGGATTTTGGGCTTGCATGGGGCCTGTAGCCCCTTTGTTTTGGCCAGTTTCTCCCATTTGGAATGGTTGTATTTACCCAGTGCCTGTACACCCATTATATCTAGGAAGTAACTAAGCTTGCTTTTGATTTTACAGGCTTATAGGTGGAAGGGACTTGCCTTGTCTCAGATGAAACTTTGGACTTGGACTTTTGGGTTAATGCTGGAATGAGTTAAGACTTTGGGGAACTGTTGGAAGGCATGATTAGTTTTGAAATGTGAGGACATGAGATTTGGGAGGGGTCGGGTGGAATGACATGGTTTGGCTCTTCTTCACCCAAATATCACCTTGAATTTTAATAATCCCCACGTGTTGGGGGAAGGACCCAGTGGGAGGTAATTGAATCATGGGGGTGGATTCTTCCCATGCTGTTCTCATGATAGTGAATAAGTCTCACAAGATCTGATGGTTTTAGAAAGGGGAGTTCCTCTACACATGCCCTCTTGCCTGCCGCCATGTAAGACATGCCTTTTGCCTTCTGCCATGATTTCAAGGCCTCCCCAGCTATGTGGAACTGTAAGTCAATTAAACCTCATTTTTAAAAAAATTACCCAGTCTCAGGTATGTCTTTATCAGCAGCCAAGACCAGCTCGGTCGCGGAGATCCTAACCCAGCAGTGCTAGAGGAATTAAAGACACACATAGAAATATAGAGGTGTGAAGTGGGAAATCAGGGTTCTCACAGGCTTCAGAGCTGAGAGCCCCAAACAGAGATTTACCCACATATTTAATAACAGCAAACCAGTCATTAGCATTGTTTCTATAGATATTAAATTAACTAAAAGTATCCCTTATGGGAAACCAAGGGATGGGCCGAATTAAAGGAATAGGTTGGGCTAGTTAACTGCAACAGGAACACGCCCTTAAGATGCAGATTGCTCATGCTATTGTTTGTGGCTTAAGAACGCCTTTAAGCGGTTTTCCACCCTGGGTGGGACAGGTATTCCTTGCCCTCATTCCTGTAAACCCATAACCTTCCAGCTTGGGCATTAGGGCCATTATGAACATGTTACAGTGCTGCAGAGATTTTGTTTATGACCAGTTTTGGGGCCAGTTTATGGCCAGATTTTGGGGGGCTTGCTCCCAACAGACTAATACACCCATTTTCTGGTATGTGACTCTAAAGTCCTTAGAATCTTCAAAGTGATGTCTTTTTCAAGCTAATAATTGACTGATGACTGGCAGCCCCTAGGCAACTTCAGAATGAGGCTGGTCACTGACCCAGGTAGGATTAGAGGGTTGGGACTTTCAGCCTCACCCCTAATCCCTGGGGAGGGACCTGGAGTTTGAATTAATCACCAATGACCAATGAATCAATTAATGGCCAATGATTGAATCAATTAATGGCCAATGATTAAATCAATCATATCTATGTCATGAACCCCAAAAGGACTGGGTTTGAAGAGCTGAACCCATGGAAGTTTCTGGAGTGTGGTGCATCTGGGGAGGGCATGGAAGCTCCACACCCCTTCCCACATGCCATGCTCTGTGCATCTCTTCATCTGCATCCTTTGTAAAGTCCTTTATTACAAACCGGTAAGCCTAAGTATGTGTTTCCCTGAGTCCTGAGAGCTGTTTGAGCAAACTAATCCAACCCAAACAGGGAGTCATGGAAACCTCAATGTGAAGCCAGTCATAAGAAGCTCTGGAGGCCCAGACTTGTGACTGGTGGGAAGGTGGTGGCAATTTTGTGGGACTGAGCCCTCTGCTGATATGTCCAGGTAGATAGTGTCAGGATGGAATTGGAGGACACCTAGCTGATGTACGGTGCAGAACTGATTGGCTGCTGGGTGTGTGGGAGAAACCCCCCCCCATCACATTTGGTCACAGAAGTGTGTCTGTGTTGATGATTGTTATTGTGGAGTGAGAGCAGAGGAAAAACACAGTTTGAGTTTTTCCAAACAGGGTGGAATCCCATCTGCCAATTTAGAATCTGAAACTTATAGTTTCAGTACTTCAATTAAGATTGAAGTACTTCAATTCAGTACTTCAATTAAGATTCAGTACTTCAATTAAGATTCAGTACTTCAATTAAGATTACAGAACTGGTAAGTGAAAGTGATACAACAAAAATGTAACCAAAGTCTGCTCAACTTAACAGCTAATAACAACAAAGTTCATAAAAATAATACCAGTCGATATTGATAGCACTGATTGAGCCCTGGCTCTGTGCATGACCTTGTTAAGGGCTTTAATCGCATTAATCTCTGAATAAATATCCTCACAACCACCCTGAGGTCCAGGTGTTTGTAACAATTCTACAGATGAGGAAACTGAGGCCCAGGAGGTTGAGTGTCTTGCCCAAGGTCAAATACCTGGTACCTATTGTAACCAGGATGATAACTGGATGAGTCTAATCCCTGAGTTCTTACCCACATTGCTCCCCAGGCTCTGAAGGAATCTCATCCTTCTCATTCCGTGTATCATTTTACACCCCCCCTCCCTCCTAGGAAAATATACAAGGAAAGGAGTGAGAGGGGCCGAGGGTCACTCACATTTTACAGTCAGCTTGAGGGGGTCGCTCCTGTTGGAGCTGACTGGGTTGGAGACCTCACACTGATACTCCCCAGCGTCCTCCTGCCTGATGGGGTCTATGGTGAGCACATGGTTAAACCAGGACAGCTTCATCCTCTTCGTGACCTGCAGACGCTGGTTGTTGAAAATCCACTGGAAAGAGGTTCCAGTGTTATTTGTGTGGCAGGTCAGGACCACGGAGCCCTTCTCTGTGACTGTGGTGCTGCTGGCTTGGATGGAGGGCTGAGCCACTGACTCTGTGGATAGAGTGACCAACAGAAAGTGTCTTGGGGCCATGCTGCATCCTCAGAGATCTCAGAGTCAAATTTAGAACATTCTCCTGTGAATAAAGGAGAAAGATGAAGGACAGGGAGGAGCAGAGAGAACCAGAGACACCCATAGCAGCGAGCAGTAGGGACTACAGTGACCTCAGAGACCCCAGGGACCAGGAGGACCCAGCTGCCTCAGACCAGGACCAGGGAGCCCTGAAAACCCTCCCACAGATGAGCGGCCCCAGAGTCACATGAGATGCAATACCTGGGGTGGCTTTAGGAGCAGGCAGTCAGAGAAATGGAACATGGGTCTCAGCCCCTAAGGGACAAGGAAGAGGTGTGGCCAGCTCCTCCTAGGATCCTACATCCAGGACCCAGTCTGTAAAGAGGTTATGATTATTCCTTTCTTTTTTCATTAATTCCCTCCCTCCTTCATCAGAGAACTACTGAGTGTGTGTCTCAGTTGGGCCTTGTGCAGGTACAGGGTGTAGTGGGAAGAGAAAGCTGAGTCCTTTCCTTCATCCTCCCATGGGAGTGACATCAACAAATCAAGAAATTCATGATTTCACGTCCAGTGAGGGAAGGAATGTGGATCTGATGGGAGAGGCTTGGACAATCCTGGCATTGAGTCTGATAGTTGAGACAGGTGATTTCGTTCTAAGTAAAAACTGACTAATTCTCCATTTGCCCGTCATTCCTCAGACCAGAATCTCCCTCTCTGAGCTGAGGATGCCCAAGAAGAAAGGAGCTGAACCAACATCTGGTCCTGGGGTCCACAGATGCCCCACGGTGGTGGCCACGACCAGATTCTGGGCTGCAGACACACGGTGGTGTGACGTTGAGCACTGACAGCCTGTGTGATGCTGATGCAATTTCTCTTTAATAAAATGGGGTACATGTCAATGGTCCCTGGCTTGCCATCCTCTCTGTAAATTAACATTAAAATATTTACAATTACCTGACCTAAAGCTTGGCACAGAATAGCTCCAAATAAACATCATCTATTATTATTTTACTCCAAAAAAAAAAAAAAAGAGTTCTCTGGGCCTGATTCCTGGTGGAGAAGGAGCGGTCCAGAGTGTCTTTTCTCTGCTTTCCCTCCTCCTGAGGACAGTGCACTTCCCGGGACATCTTTTAAGTTTCCCATCCAGTTTAATGGCCTGGGAAGTTTGTTTGTCTGTCCTCTCCACTCTGACTCTCAGGTGAAAGATGAGGCTCTGCCCTTGCCCAGATGGGGCTCTGGGGGCTGAGCCCTGCCTGGTGACCAGCTCTAGGAACCACGGCCCTGGGACAGCTGGTAAATCCTTGCTCACAATCAGCCCTGCCCAGGAAGCCACAACCCAGCCCTGGCACAGGCTCCCCAGGGTCATCTGGAGTCAGGATCTTGGGACAGGGGCCTGGGGCAGGGGCTTCAAGGGCTGAGCTTCTCTCAGAGGATCCTCAGGCCAGGCCCTGACTGAGTCCTATAAGATCTTTCTCAGGTCATGTCTATGAGGAGGAGGCCAAGGGGGGTTGGACTGAGACTGATTTTCCCCCGCTGCATCTCCCGCATCAGACTATCCTTCTTGCTGTAGGGAATTTCCACGGAGTCCGGATAAGGGAAAGGAATTCTGATCTGTTATAGTTTGTCTCCCCTGGGTGTGTCCTGCACTAAATGCCCAAACCCCAACATGGGACGTAATGCAGAGGGGGATGCAGGCACAGCCCAGGCCTGACAATCCTGCGTATGTGAAGCAGAACTGACCCCCAACACCCAGAGGCACGGAGGAATCACTCACCGTATACACGGAGATGGTGAGATGCCTGTTCAATCTGAGAATTTCTGTATGTGACTTGTAGGTTGTAGTATCCCGTGTCCTCTAGGGTGACGTTCTGGAAATGCAGATCTCCACTGGGTGATATTGTCTCTCGACCGCTGTATGCAGGCCCTGGAGTCCTAACGTGAGTGTCTATTACATATGCTGCGATTAGCTGGTTGGGCTCCACCGTTTTCCCTTTGTACCAGCCATAGCTGTAAAGATTCTCGGGCAGATAAACCACAGAGAGATGAACATTCTCCCCTTCAGCAACTTCAAAGGGCGCTGATGCAATAAAGAGCCAGGCAGTGGTGGGTGCGTTCCAGAAAGTTAAAAGTGAGGCTAGGAAAGGGAGAGAATATCAGTCAATATTTGACCTATGCATTGGCATGGAAAGACGGGGTCCTGGGTGCAGGTCTCTTCACCCCTCAGCCTTAGAGGGTGTGTGTGTGTGTGTGTGTCCTACTGGGTCAAAGTCAGCAGCATGACCCTCATTCCTTCAGTACCTCTGACCTTGGCATTTCCTTGTGTGAACCCTCTTTCCCAGGGGTCTGCATGGTTCCCTCCCCACTGCCTTCAGTTCCTACTCACACAAGGGAATCCCTGGGAGACTTCTTTCGTGAAGCCTCCTCTAGAGACCCTGGGTCTTCCCTTTCTGACCTTTCCCAGCTCTGTTCCCTCCAGGGCTCTTGTCAGCACCTGACCTCACATTCTAGATCTCTTTGGGTGTCTGTCTTCCCCCCCATGAGATTGTGAGCTCTGTGAGGGCATGGACTTGAGTGATGTTAGTTGCACCCCAGTGCCTGGGACAGGCTGCAGACTCCTGTGGATGAGTTCATGAGCGTTCCCAGGGCCTTCCATATCCTGGGGTTTATTTGCTAATGTCTGAGGTTGGCAGATGAAGACAGAGTTTCATGCCCTGGTGGTGTTTTTATTTAAATTGTCACTGTGATATAGTTTTACTATCATTTTCAAAGTGTAGTGGCCACTGACAATGAACTTGAAAACATGGACCAACTGAGATTGTTTTGCCCCTTGGCAATTCCAGTTCACTTAGATTTTTTGGTTCTCCTTAGACGCTCTCTCCCCTGAGTCTCTAACAAAAGCCCTCTGTCTCCTCTCAGAGCCCCATCCTCCCCAGGAGACCCCAGCCAGTCTCTGTGCTCCCTCCTCCCACCCACTCCCAGGGAGTCCTCCCCTCACCTGTGAGCAAGAGCCCCTGCCAGGGGATGCATTCTCTGTGGGGACAAGCTGAGGGGGGCCCCATGGTCTCTGCTGCCTGCTCTGTCCTCCTCTGTGGAGAGGAGCTTGGGCTCCAGGAACGCTCTAGACAGGGTTACTGTGACTGTTGTCTCTGCTGTCCTTCCTTCCTCTATGCTGAGCTTCCTCTCAGGCAGGAGCACTTCCCGTTTATGGGCAAGGGCGGGGCTCTGCCTACAATGTCTCTCTGTCCCCTCCCCTCTCAGTCCTGCCTCCCTTGTCCCTCCTTTCTCCTTCCTTTTTGCCTATATTTGGTTCCCTAGGCAAAACTTTGAGAAGCAACGCTGATGGGGTCCTCATAACAGGACGACCCACTCTCCCCAGTACTGACCTCTGCTGTGTTCTGGCCTTGGTTCTGTCACAGCCGGTAGATTATTTCCCTTTGTGACACACAAAACCAGCTGGGCCCTGGGTCTCCTCATGCTCTCCAGTGCTCCAGGAAGGCAGAATGATGCCCAGCAGGAAAGTGACAGAGGTGGCTCTGGGGGCTAGAAAGGGGCTCACTGGGTGATGGCTGGGAAGGACCCACCCGCTATCTTCAGTGTCACCAGCCTGGCCTCTGACCCAGGGACAGAGACCCAGGCCTGGAGGTCTCGGGAGGATCCCCAGCTCCTAGGTGTGGAGGGAGGTGTCCTGTGTGTCCTGGGAAGAGAGGACTTTGATGGAAGGAGGTGGGAGGCTCTGGGTTCTGCTGTCCTTGGTGAAGGTTTCAGGGGGACCCTCTCCGTGTCTGGGGTCTGTGCCCCCAGCTTAACTCTCATTCTCTTTGCAAATACATATATTTTGTGGATCTGCAGTTGCCTGAACTGTCTCATGTCCCTAAATCTTTGTATCCCTTTTTACAGAAGGTCAGGAAGGGTGTGTACATGAGTATGAGGACTATCTGATCAGGGCGAGTGTTTGTTTCCCAAAGATCTCTTTAGATATGGTATAATACATAAGATAAATGTACTGAATTAGCAATTTTAAGTGTAGAATTAAATGATACTAATTCTATTCACAATGTTGTACAACCATCACCATAATTTTTTACCAGAAAATCTTCATTATACCAAATGGAAACTTCATACTTTTAATCAATAACTCCCCACTTCCCCCTGCCCCACCCACTGGTAGCCTCTGATACTATCAATCTCTGTGAATTTGCCTAGTTTACATGTCTCATATAATAAGGAATTATATACGTGTATTATTTTTTTCTGGATTATTTCTCTTAGGGTAACACTTTTAAGATTCATCCACGTCGTAGCATATATTACAGCTTCTTTCCTATTTATGGCTGAGTAATATCCCAATATATGTTTATACCTCAATTTTAATTCATTCATCTCTTAATGGACATGTGGGTGGTTTCCACATTTTTGCTATTGTGAAAACCGCTGCAATGAACTTACACTTGGAAGTATCTGTTTGGGTTTCTGTGTTCATTTCTTTGGGGGTACATATAGGAGTATAAATATGGGGTCATGTGGTAGTTCTATGTTTAAGTTTTTGAGAAACAGCCAAACTGTTTTCCAGTTTGCTGTGCTATTTTATATTCCCATCAGCAATATACGAGGGTTCCATTTTCTCTACATTCTTGTAAACACTTACTATTTAATATTTTTTAAAACTTATAGCCATTCTAGTAGGTGTGAAGTGATAGCTCATTGCAGTTTTGATTTTCATTTCCCTGGTGGCTGATGAAGTTGAGCATTTTTTCATGTATTTGCTGACAATTTTAATATTTTTTAGAGAACTATTTATTCAAATCATTTGCTGTTTAAAAAAAATGGGTTATCTTTTTATTATTCAGTTGTAATAGTTCTTTATATATTTTAGATACAAGTCCCTTATGGGGTACATGATTTGCAAAATTTTTCTCATATTCTGTGTCTTCTCACTTTCTTCATGGTGTTCTTTGAAGCACAAACATTTTTAACTTTGATGAAGTTCACTTATCTATTTTTAATTTTGTTACTTATGCTCTTGATGTCATATTGAAGAAACCATTGCCCAATCCAAGATCATTAAGTTTTACTCCTATATGTTCTTCTAATGGTTTGATAAGTTTTGCTATTCCATTTAGGTTTTTGAAACATTTTGAGTTAACTTTTGTATGGGCTGTGAGGTAGGGGTCTAACTACACTATCTCGCATGTGGTTATCCAGTTGTTCCAGCACAATATGAAGAGGCTACCATTCTTTCCCCATTGAGGAATCTTGGCACCCATGTCAAAAACCAATGGGCTGTAATGGTGAGGGTTTATTTCTGGACTCTTGATTCTATTCCATTGATCTCTATGTGCATTCTTGTGCCAGAAGCACACTGTTTTAATGATTGTAGTGTTTTAGTAAGTTTTCAAATTAGGAAGTGAGTCCTCCAATTTTTTTTTCCAGATTGTTTTGGCCATTCTGGGGTGACTTTTAAAAAAGATGTAGTTCAATGGTTCTCAAAGCAGGAGTGGTTCAGCTCTCCTTTTTTGGCAGTCTGGAGACCTTTTTAGGACCTTAATCTAAGTAGATAAATTATTCCCACTTTCTTTTCTGAGTTGCTATGTTACAGTGTATATTGACACCCATGAAATAATTGAGAGACCCTGGAAGTGCTTGCCTACATAGTGAGGGACAATTAGTTCCATGATCATGGGCACAGAAGATTTTGTTTTGGGAAACAATTTTGTTGGTGGAGTTATATTCATGCTTACTCTTTTATTTGTCTTCATAGCCTGCATCTCCTTCAGACTTCATATCTGTTTATTTTCTTGTTTGTCCTCTGGGGTTTGGGTGTTGGGTGACCAGTCAGCTGGAGCTGGAGGAGGTGCTTAGCAAGGCAGTGACCCTGGTTGGGAGGAGCAGGGCTCAGCAGGGTGAAAGTAGCTGGGCCTTGAGTCAGGAGTGGCATCTGGAAGGCCTGACTGTAAGGGTCAGAAGGGCCAGCAGGTGGGTGTCCTAGGCACAAACGGTGGCTGCTGCTGTGGACTGGAGGAAGGTAAGAGGCCCCGAGTATTCCATGTTCTTACTGGCTCCCCAACTGAGGATTCCTCTCCTGGGCTGGTGCTGTCCTGCAGCAGGGAGGGGTTAGACAGGGACGGCTGCACATCAGGCCGGAGTCCATGTCATCCTCTTAGGCACTGTCACTACAGATTGAGGATTCTGTTCATAAGCCAAGCCTTTGCACAAGGAAGGGACCCGGGCTCTCAAGGAAGAGCAGCTCCTGGTCAGACCTCCATCTCCTTCTCTCTCATTGCCTGAGGCCTCAAGCTTGGTCTACCTGGCACAGGGGTCTGGATCCTCCTCCCAGGGTTGGGGTCTTACTGAGCTGGGCACCTGCAGGTGGGAGAAGATCTGGAGGGGCCCCATCTGCCTTCACCAGATTGATGTTGAGGGTCCCTGAGTCCTGCACCACTATCAGGTGCTGAGCAACTTCCAGTGTCAGTGACAACCACCCCATGGTGGAAGCAGAACCACCTCGTGAGAAAGCACCTCCAAGCCTCAGTGCTTGCCATGTGTGGGAATTTGCTGGTTTCAGTTGGGGGCATGTTGGTGGGTGGTCATGAATTCAGGGCCGGATTCTATGCTCACAGTGCACATGCTGGATGTGGTACAGACCCCAGGCAGGGCTCAGTGGGGTGGTTTTGGGTGTGCACAGGTATCTTTTCTGGAGGAGCTGGTGGTGATTTGGCTCCCAGAAGTTCCTGAGCTCTGCAGACTCACCAAGCACTCAATATTTGAGTGAACATTGGGCGAGAGAGCAGAAGGTAAGTGTCAGGGCATCGGGGTTGGTGCCTCTGGGAAGAGGAGGAACATTCTGGGAACAAAGCTCTCCCCCGGCTTACAGGGAGCTTCCCATCGCTCCTGCCTTGAGGATCAGGGAAACTAGGGCCTCTGCTCTTCCAGGGGCTGCTTGCAGGCAGTTTGCTCTGGGAGGGGGTGACCCAGGAGTTGCCTCTCATTTTGCATTTGAGATTTAAAAGGAGAAGGGACAGTATATCTTGCCAGGTCACAAAAATTACAGGCATCATATTGACTGAAGGGCACTCCTGTCATCATTGCAATATACCAGAATGGTCTTTTAAAAAAATAAGTGATTTAGGTTTACCAGCAACTGTAATGCTTGTTTTATTCTTCTAGTTCACCGTTAATGTCACTTTTGTAGTTTTAGCACTGGCAATGTTGATTTTATGTTGACTCTGATGATTTTAAGCTTTCATTTGTTCACATAGAGATCATCTTCTTTCTGAATATTAATGCATTTTTTCTCTATTTCTACTGGTTATTCCTGTACATAGAGTAGAGAATCACTTTTCCCAAGGAGGTGGAAAGCTTCTGACTACCAAAAAAAAAAAAAAGTGTCAAAATGCTTTAAAGTCAGTAACTTAAAGATCAAATCCAAGAGTGGGCAACAGATTCTGCCCAGGGTCTGAAAGGTGGAGAGGTGACTGGTGAGGATGTTTAAAAGACCTCTCCTCTCTACTCCCTAAATGGGGGCCATCCAGTGTTCTTGAGGTTCAGAGAAGGCCCAGGGCTGGGGCAGCAGGGCACTGTCAGCTCCCAGCTCCCAGGGGCCAGGAGTAAGACCCCAACACTGTCCAGACACTGATTGCATTCATTTTGGGGGAGAGTAGATTCTTATTTAAAGAATAATACAAAAGTCTACAAATTTGAACATAAACAGAAATTCCTTTGCTACAATTTTCCCCTTAATAAGACATTCCTTCCTAATGACATATGTGACTGCATTCATGGCTGAGATGTTTTCTAGGATGGTGAGAGCATCAGAGTGGACTATCTGGTGCCTTGGGGTCATGCATTTTCTTCTTTCAATGTCTACAGGATCCCCCATGTCCCACTTTGTAGTGTAACTCAGTGTGTGTCATTCTGGTTTTTGTTGTATAGATCCTTGGAAAGCCCATGTCATTCCTGCTGTGAGGTACAGGCAGCCAAATGGCATCATCTCTAAACATGCCTTCTCCTGGTACATCAAATTATGGAATAAATGAAAGCCATTTTGACAGATATTGAAGATATAAGTTTCTACTCTTCCCACACATGCGATTCTTCTCCCAAGTGAAGGATTTTACTGGTGAATTGTTATTAGAGATTAGTGTGGATCAGTGACTCTGCCAGGGGAAATTTTGCCCTCTAGGGGACATTTGGCAAAGTCTGGAAACATTGTTGGTTGTCAGAGCTGGGGGAGGGAGTCCTGCTGGCATTGAGTGGGTGGATGGTGCTGAACACCCTGCAGTTCACAGAGCCCCACCAGTTTGACCACCCAAATGTCAATGCTGAGGAGTGGAGAGCCCTGCTGTGCCCTCCCGCAGCTTCCCTGAAGCTTCCCCTCACCTGCTCCTCCCATGTCTCCCCACCACTTCCCCACTTCACCCGCCTCCTTACACCTCAGTCCCCTCCACCTGAACTCACCCCTTAGTCCAAGGCCAGCCCTGATCTCCGCTCTCCTGGTCTCCTTGCTCCTTAGCAGGAGGCGCCCACTAGATGGCGCCCTTGCCCTTACTGGAGCTCACCGTCTCCCTTTCCACCCTGAGACAAATGTGGCTGCTTTTACTGCCACAACCCCAGCCCTCCACGCTCTAGATTTGCTCAGGGAGCAGCTCCTGGACAGACCTCAGGGACCCCAGGGAGGAGCCTCACTCTGGAGATTTTGATGGCATGGTCTTTGAACTTCACTGTTACCCCCAGTCAGGATCCAGGATGTTGGGAGTGCATGATTCTGCCCGGTCCCACTTCAGCAGGACCCCACTGCTGAGTTGTCTGTGGGGACCCGGGCCTCTCATCTCCTTCTTGCATTGCAGGAGAGGGATCTTAGCACTGCTTTCACATAAAGTCAGATAATGGAGGAGTGCAGGTGAGTTTGGGAAGGTGGACATGAAGAGAGGTTGTGTCCCTAGAGGTGGCAGCAGTGAGAGGATGGGCAGGTGGGAGGAACACAGCCCATCCAGGGTTGCCAGCCATATTAGGAGCGACAGCCTTTCCTCTAAGCCTCCAGCCTTTTTCCTGAAACATTCCAGAACTTTCCACTTCAGCACTTCCCACTGAGGCTCCTCAGGTCTGTCCCTGAGCTCCCAGCTGAGCCTACCTACCCATCTGAAATCCTGAGTCCTGTGTCACCCTCGTTCCCCATTATTCTGTGCAGTTCTGTGGGACGCCCAGCTCTCCTGACACCCCCAGTCTTCAGAATGGCCATCAGCGCTGTCGCTGTGGCACCAGGGTGACTGCCGCCTGGAGGCTGAGTCCTGGCTTCCTGACAGCTGTGGGGCCCGCTCTAGGCTCCCTTGTCCTGATCATTCATCACCTCCAGGATGCACAGCAGCTGGGCCAGGGGGAGGAGCAGGGACAGGTGTCAGCCACCCTGTGTGTCTGCAAGTCAGGCTGGGGGTGTGGGAGGACGCCAGGAATGACTGAACTTTCTGATTTAGAGGGTGAGAGCTTGCACTGATGGAATTTGGGATTTAATAGGAAAAGCATAGCGTTTTCCTATTTTGTAGGCGGGGTGGCTGGAGTTTGGAATCATAGATTCCCCTGGGATGTCACTGTGGACCTCAGTCCCACCCGTTAGGGGCACAGATTTCAGAATCCACACCCTGGGGCAAAGCAGGCATGGGAGGCTCCATCAGCCTGGCCAGGGCTCTCTATTTGTGCAGCTGCTGCAAGGAGATGTGCACTCTGATGGGAACAGTGCTCCCTCCTCCTTGGGGGGCAGTATCTAGCTCCCTGCAGCCCCTCTCCCTGCAGGCCCTGCCCTCTCTGAACCTCACCTTCCCCAACCCGCCCCCCGCAATCCCATCTCAGCTGTAATCCCAACACTTTCTCATCCATTATGGGTGGACTGCTTGAGCCCAGGGGTTCAAGACTATGCTGGCTGGACAATATAGCGAGTTGTTGTCTCTACAAAAAGACAAAAATTAGCTGTGCATGGTGGCATACACCTGTAGTCCCAGTCACTCAGGAGGCTGAGGTGGGAGGATTGCTTGAGCTGGGGAGGCTGAGTTGGCAGTGAGTTGAGATTGTGCCACTGTATACTTCAGTGTAGGTAACAGAGCGAGACCCTGTCTCAAAAAATAAAAGTAAAAAAAAAAAAAGAAATATGGAATACATTATTGTTAACTCTAATCAACCATGCTATGCAATAGTCCACCAGTAATACCAGTAATAGCCAATAATGAATTATCTGAAAAAGAATACAATTTATTCTTAGCTATCTACTGCTAAAATTTTTAAGCTATCTTTTATGATAGCTGAAACAAAAGAAGTAAATTTAACCAAGGAAGTAAAAGACCTTTATAATGAAAACTGTAAAACATTGATGAAATAAATTGAAAAAGACACACGCACAAATAGAAGATATTCCATGTTCATGAATTGGAAGAACTGATATTGCTAAAATGTCCTTACCACCCAAAGTGGTCTACAGATTCAATGCAATTTCTGTCAAAACACCAATGATATTCTTCGAAGAAGTAGAAGATCCTAAAATTAGAAACCACAAAAATTCCTAAAACCTGCACAAAACACCCTGAGTTGCCAAAGCAATCTTAAACAAATAGAACAAAGCTAGTGGCATTACACTTCCTGACAATCAAAGCATACTGCAAAGCTATAGTAACCAAATCAGCATGGTCCTGGCATAAAAACAAGCACATAGATCAATGAAACAGAATAAAAATCCCAGAAATAAACCCATGCATCTCTAGCTAACTGATTTTCAGCCAAGGAGCCACATGCACACAATGGGGAAAGGACAGCCTCTTCAATAAGTGGTGCTGGGGAATTGGATATTCATATGCAGAAGAATGAACCTAGACCCTATCCCTCACCATGCACAAAAAATTAACTCAAAATGTATTAAATAAAGACTTAAATGTAAGAACTGAAACTATGAAACTACTAGAAGAAAATATAGGGGGAAAATCCATGACATTGGTCTAGGCAAAGAGTTTTTGGATAAAATCTCAACAGCATAAGCAACAAAACCAAATATAAACAAACGGGATTTCATCAAACTAAAAAGCTTTTATACAGCAAAGAAAAAAAAGGCCAGCAGAGCAAAGAGACAACCTACAAATGGGAGGAGAATATATTTGTAAATATATACATATATATTTGTAAATATATACATCTGATAAGAAGATAATATCCAAAATATATAAGAAAATTATGTTTCTGTATAGTTTTATCTGACTGGGATACAGAGGCCACATCCACAGTCCCATCCTCAAAGGCCACTTGTTCCCAAAATGTCAAGCACATCCCTCAATGATCCATCATCAACACCTATGTCTGTAGGATGAAGGGTGAATCATGAAGCACTAAAAAGGAAGAAGGAAGCCAATCCCAAAACAAAATGATGCAGGGTCTGGAAAGTCCAAAGCATTTTTTTTTTTTTTTTTACTGCATCTTCCTCCTTTCTTCTCCACATTCCCAATCCTCACTATTGATTAACAAAACAAAAAAAACTGGGACCCACCATCTTCCCTACTGTCAGGAGATCTAGCGAGATTGTTTGAGTCTTAGACCAAACTTTGCCATAAGCCAAATTTCTGGCTGACTTTACAATGATATGAGCTAGCACAGTCTCTTTTTCTGCCAGTCAACTTGTGCTCGGTTTTATTTGCAACCAAATAGAGGTGGTAACCAAATATAGGTGACCCTAAAATTAGTCATCAGGATGAAATCCTAAAATGTGCAACAAACTGGGTTGAATTCAGGATTAGTAGCAACATCTCTGTTGTGGGCTTGAAAAGGGGGCACCCTTTTATGCAGTAGCA
The DNA here is from genome assembly GCF_000001405.40 of Homo sapiens. NCBI lineage: Eukaryota > Metazoa > Chordata > Mammalia > Primates > Hominidae > Homo > Homo sapiens. The sequence goes on from NT_187620.1 coordinate 114,484, forward strand.
AAATTGCTAAATTGTTGTTTGCTGAGTCTTTGGACTCTCATCCCGGATTTTCTATGACCATTCAAACAGGGCTGCAATGAACATCTATGGTTGTTTAGCTTGGCACACTTCTACATTTCTATATAGTAATATCTAGAAGTGCATTTGCTCAATCACAAGATATGCACATTTTATAATTGACTGCTATCGAACTACCTTAAATAGCCTTAATTTGTTCTCAACATTGTTTAACAGGGTCTGTTTAATGTCCTATGTCCAGCAAGGACAGTATCACTTTTCTTAATATTTTTCAAATTATTGGACCTTAACAAATACTTAATGTGCAATTAATTGATTCCTTTGTATTCCCATGCCTTCTTTTATATGTTTCCTTATAGTACACAAAACCACATTATTGTTTCTTTACTTGTGTCATTCCACCCTGGACCATTCCTATCTAAACCATAACATTATGAGAGAGAGAGAGAGAGAAAACAATATGAAAATATAAATTGATTAATCAAAAAAATTTAAATAGGACAAATCAGGAAGACACAAGAGAGATTTTAAAATTATTCAGAGAATACCACAATAGCTGTACCAATATATTTTAAAACTTAGATGAAACGGACAACTATCTCGATAAATGTAAATTACCAAAACTGACTCATGAAAAAATGGATATTATGAATAGAGCAATAATCAGTAAAGCAATTAAAAAGACAGTTGATAATTTTTATTTACTGACAACAATAACAAAATTTCAGGTCCTGATATTTTTATGGTGAATTTTAACAAATTTTCAAGCTCCTCCTCAACCAATTCTCAGAAGGTTTAAAACTTTAACAAGAAAACACTTTCTAACACATTTTCAGAAGCTGTTATAGCATGATACCAAAACCACACAAGAAAATTATAGACCAATCTCACTTACAAATATACATGCAAAATCAAACAAAATCTTAGTGAACCAAATTCAGAATTAATAATAGCAAACAAGCAAAATATGTTATCATACGTATGGCTTATATCAGGAATGCAAGTATGTTTCAACATCAGAAAATACTTCTCCACATTAACAGACTAAAGGAGAAAAACGCTTGTTTAATTATCTCAATAGGTTTTTAGAGAATTTTGAAAATTTTATAAAGTTATGCGTATTCTGTAAAATTGATGAAATCCAACCTTGATTTATTTTTAAAAATTGCCTTTCCTATAGAATTATAGGTAAAGGAAACACATGCATCCTCACAGAGCTACTTCAAGGCTAAGTTACTTCCCATAAGTAACGTATTCTGTAATGTGTGCTTGGCACATATTCAATACTAAACAAATATTTGCAAATCCTCAAACCACTTCTCGCTCAAATAACCCACCTTTGTCTTTTGCCTTTATGTTAGGGTTGATTTTCTCAATTGTATCTTGGAGATCCTTTGGTGGGTCTTTCAGCAATTACCCTGAATTTGCTTTTCTGTTTACAATTTTAATTCCTGGGAACTCTTTCTTGTTCTCTGACTGCACCCTTTTCATGAGAGTTCAGCCATCAATCCTCCAGAACCCCACCCCCCCCGCCCCCCCAAAAAGCAATAAAGATGTCTAAAAGCTTCTTTCTGGGCTTTCGAATGATGTTTACCCCAGGCATTTGTTCTATTCGTTCATCACCCATTTTCCCTACAACTTGCCTACACTTGATATCAGATTTTTATTTATTAGTCACCTATCTTCTTCATTGGCCCATTTTCCTATTTTGCCACTGGTTGTTCTCAAATGTGTTATGATTCCTGGTTGTACAGTCAAGTGGTTGATAATCTTGGATATACGATAAAGATTTGCTCTGTAGCTGTGTGTAAGCCTATATAAAAGCTTTTGTATTTTTCTTCTTAAAAAAGACAAAAGATGGTTGGGAAGATCCCTCCAGTTCACCAGTTCGAGGCTGCAGTGAGCTATGATAGCGCCGCTGCTCTAGCCTGTCTGTGAAAAACAAGGGGGGCGGGGGGCGGGGGGGAAGACTGGAGATGTAAATCTCCCGCAGGGCCCTACCCGTATCCGCAACAGGTCTCTAACAGGAACAGCCTCAGGCCTGTGTTGGAACAAGGTAGGTTACAGAAATCTGGAAGCCAGATCTGTAACTTCAGGGTAAGGACTGGCTCTCAGGGCTGATCCCCCGGGCTGGGTGTCCCAGAGGCACCCGCCCCCGCCCCTTCCCCAAGGCAGGCCAGGACACCTTCACTCCTCTCCTTAGGCTCCCCACCCCCTTCTCCTCCCCACTGTGCCTCCTGGAGTAGCGGTGGCGGTGCCACAGGGGAGCGGGGCGGGGCGGGCTCTGAGGGCAAGGGGGATGGGCCCCGCCGGGGTCACTGGCGGCCACCCTGGAAACTCGACGCAGGCCGGCCCTTCTAGTGAATCGTCCCAGCCACAGCTGGCCTCCCAGCCGCGCTTGGGGCGCCTCGGGGCGCGAATGGTGCAGGTTGGGGAGACTCACCACGCACCGTCGGGGGTCGGTCCGGTTATTCCTCACCGCTCGGCTCCAGTGGGCGCGCGGGCCTCTCCTCCTCAGTTCCTGCGCTGCAGTCCCTCCCTCACCCTTCGCAGCTTGGGAATCCGACTGTGTCATTCCGACGGAGCGCCGTGAGGACCTCCGAGGGTGTTAGCGCCAAGTGATCTCTGTCCAGCGCTCTGAATATCCAAGTAAAGGAGTTCAATGAAGGGCGGGTCAACGGAGGAGAAACCGTGACTCTCTCAAGGGAGCCCAAGGCCTCCTTGTCTAATTAGTGACGCGCCAATGGATGGAGGCTCTTCCCACCATCTCTTCCCAGCATCCAGTGACACCACCGCCAAGGGACGGGCTCGGCGGAACCTGCAGGAAAGAAGCATCGGCTGAGCCTGACTGCAGCGCTGTGAAGAGACAGGGGAGGGGATCAGTAGTTGGTCCCGCGCCCACCCCCTGTTTCCGCGAGGGGCGGAGTTGACTGGCCATGCAGGCAGAGGGCGAAATGTGAAATTCCACTACTCCTACCGTTTTTCCCTGACCCGATGGGGCGGAGTGTCGTCAGGCTAAGTTCCCTGGCGGTAAGGTGGGGAGATTGAGGCGCACACCTGCCGAACGGTAACGCAGGATTAGCTAAGGCGAGCTCAGGACAGAAGCCTCCCGAGGAGCAGGAGGGCAAAATAATAAATAAATAAATAAATAAATAAATAAATAAATAATAAATAACTCACTCCTTGGTCTTTATTTGCGGCAGGAATTCAGAAGGTGAAAGCGGGGCCTTAGGATCTTTCTGACCTTTTGGGTTTTAAGCAGGAGGTGTCAGAAATGTTACCACAGGGCTAGCTGGCTTGTGGCCAGCAAGCGTTCACAATGCCCTCGATTTTTCATCCCTGTCTGTGGGTTCTTTTTTTCATTGTAAGGCAGAATTTCTACGATTGCTCACCCACTCAGAGAACCTGAGCTGGTTTAGACCAGGTGAGACAGGCTAGGTTTACCCTGGTGATGATGTGTTGTTGCCATGGCGATCCTGCCCAGTACCAGAGGCCCTGCAGATTCAGATACTTGGTGCCTGTGCTTGGCTGAGGGGCCAATGGGTGAAGCTGCCATCTGCGGGATGATGACTGAAGCCTCTAAGTCAGAATCCGCCCAGGCTGAGCCTTAGGGCAGCTCCATGGAGCCTCGGCTGGCCTGGGATAGAGAGTCCACCACTGTGCCAGCCCCCAGCCACTGCCTAGGTCCTGTGCTGAGAGCCCCTTGTCCAGGGAAATGGCGTCCAGTGGAAAAGGGACCACCCCCTTGCCCTTCACTCAAGGCAGGTTGGTGACAACCCTGAAGCTAATCCGTTCCTAGAGGAGCTGCTTCTGGGTCCGAGTTTTCTCTGCAGCAGAGCAGCTCCCTGGATGGGATCTGTTCAAAGTCCGCCTTTCACGCGGAATTTTCCGTCCTTGCAATTTTCCACCTCCACCACTAGGGGATCCTCTCTGACCGCCTCATGCCGGCTCTGGCCTCTGAGCAGGGGTCTCTCTTCTGCATGTGCGACCTTGCGCATGCCTAGTGGCCTTTTGGGACCTAGAGCTGCTCCACACCCCGATGGGGTTACAGAGTGCCTCGCCTCCACTCCACCCCACCAGGGTTCCTTCCCTGGCTGGGATGGGATTTCAGAAGCGCCGAGGAACAGCCCAGACAGGTGTGGGAGAGTAGCCAAGGCCCCTGTCCCGGGGTGGCCAGGACAGCGGTGGCCTCGCATAGGACCTGGCTGGGCTGCTGCAATCAGTGTCCTGCCCCTTGGAGAGCAACAGTGAAAACAACAAGACTATCTTCACCCACCTTAAGAAAGAACAGAACCAGTATCCCCAACTCTGCTGTGTATCCCAACCCAATTCCATTCCCCACCCCACTCTCAGTAGCCAATATGCAAAATATTAGAATACTCTTACTGTTATTATTTTCAACCACACTCTGCATCCTGAAAAACCATATATTTCGTTATGTGCTTTTAAACTTCTTGAAAATGAAATACTGAGGCTGGGCGCAGTGGCTGACACCTGTAATCCCAGCACTTCGGGAGGCGGAGGCAGGCGGATCACGAGGTCAGGAGATCGAGACCATCCTGGCTAACACAGTGAAACCCCATCTCTACTAAAAATACAAAAAATTAGCCGGGCGTGGTGGCGGGCGCCTGTAGTCCCAGCTACTTGGGAGGCTGAGGCAGGAGAACGGCGTGAACCCGGGAGGTGGAGCTTGCACTGCGCCGAGATCGCGCCACTGCACTCCAGCCTGGGCGACAGCGCCAGACTCTGTCTCCAAAAAAAAAAAGAAAAAAGAAATACTGAATTTTCAAATACTTGCTTTTTTTTTCGGTCAAAATTATGTTCTCAAATTTCACTCCTGTAGATGTGCGTGGCTGGCTGTAGTTTTTGCATTTTTATTATTAGGTATTCTCCTGTTGCATTAATATGCCACATTTTATTTCTCTCATGTTTTTGGTGACCACTTGGGGTGTTTTTTGGTTTTGTATTTTTGCTGTATACATGCTGCCATGGTGGACATACCTCTTTATACATATTTCCTGTTGTATGCAGACACAATTTTAGGATGTGACATCTTCAGCTTTTCTATTGTGTCGTGTGTCTTTTCCTTCGTGCTTTGTGTTATTTACATATTCTGGACACAGATTCTTTGTCAACTGTATGTGCTGCACATCTCTTTCCCAGTTTGTGTCTTCTTCTTCTTTTTTTTTTCTTAAAAAAAACTTTCTTTATAGTGTTTTTTCTTTCTTTCTTTCTTTGTTTTGTTTTGTTTTTTTGAGATGGAGTCTTGCTCTGTCACCTAGGCTGAAGTGCACTGGCCGATCTCGGCTCACTGCAACCTCCGTCTCCTGGGTTCAAGTGATTCTCCTGCCTCAGCTTCCCAAGTAGCTGGGATTACAGGTGCCTGTCACCACACCCAGCTAATTTTTGTATTTTTAGTACAGATGGGGTTTCACCATGTTTGTCAGGCTGGTCTCGAACTCCTGACCTCAGGTGATCCACCCTCTTTGGCCTCCCAAAGTGTTGGGATTACAGGCGTGAGCCACAGCACCTGGCCTGTGTTCTTTCTTAAGTAGATGTTACTTTTAATATAATAGAATGTATCATATTTTGCTTTTATATTAGTACTTTTTCTATCTAATTCAAACACATCCCCAAGGGTCTTTGTGTGTAGACTGACCAATTTCTCAAGAATCATGAATGAATACTGCTTCTCTTTCCCCAATTTATCTGTAATGCTACCTTTATTATAAAGTTTCTATGCATGTGTAGAAATAGTTCCTGATTTTTCACTCTGTGCCACCAGCATACCAATAGCACGCTGTCTTAAATATTAAATAGCAGAGCTTTATGAGACAACTTGATGTGCAGTAGGCAATTGCCCCCTTGTTACTCTTCTTCAGGGTTCTTTGTTGTACCACATGAATTTTAGAATTGGCTTGTCCAGCTAAAAGACAACTGCAAGGATTTTATTTGGAAGTTCATAATTCTATACATAATTTGGGGAAAGTATTTTCATAATACCAAGTCTTCCTATTAATGAACACAGACTCTCTCTCTCTCTCCCCCACCCCCACCTGTTTAGTTATTTATATCTTTATGGTCTGTTAGTTATTGTTTATTGTCTTTCAACCAGGTTTCATGTTTTTCTACATAGAGGCCTTGCATGTGAAAGTCTTTCTTCCTAGCTTGCTATTACAAATTTTTTTTAATTGCACTTTTTGGGTACAGTGGCTTGTACTGTAATCCCCGATACCTGGGAGGCTGAGGCAGATGGATTGCTTGAGTCCAGAAGTTCAAGACCAGCCTGGGCAACATAATGAGGTCCCTGTCTCAAAAAGTTTGTTTTAAAAATTGCATTTGCTGTTATTCAACAAATGTCATTGTGTCTCATATATGGATTTTTATATCTGATAACCTTGTTCAACAATCTTTTGATTCTAACAATATATCAGATTCTTTTGAGTTTTCCATATAGACAATAATGTCATCTGTAAATTATAATTGTTTCTTCTTTGTTATTTCTTGGACCTTTTATTTTATATTTTTGTCTTGCTGCAAGGCAATATCCCTCTATATATTGTGGGGTCTTTTTTCTCATAAAGTGGGGATGGTGAACACCCTTGTCTTGCTCTCTGATTGTATAAAGCATGCTTTCTGTAGCATTTTGTAGACGCTCTTTTTTAGATTGAGGTAATTCACTTTTATTTCTGGTTTACTGAGTTTTTAGCATAAATTCAGGCTGAATTTGAGCTAAAGCTTTTTCTGGAGACATCATTTGAAAAATTCATATGATTTACTTTCTTTAAGTCACCAAAGTTATGAATTACATTGAACTGAGTTTCTACTGTTTAACTGTATTCTTGGGAGAAAACCCACTTGTCACTGAACAATATCTGTTTTATTTACTGCTGTCTTGTGTCTAAATTTTCTTTTAGGATTTTTTGTATATGCTCAGATTAGCCTGTTATTCTCCTTTCTGTATTTTTTTCTGGTTTGGGGGTCAAAGTTATAATAGCCTCACAATAAGAGCTAAGAAACCAGCCCTAATGGAGGCCGGGGCAGGAGGTTTGGAGTTCAAGACCAGTCTGGGCAAAATAGTGAGACCCCCATCTCTATGAAAAATAGAAATTAGCCAGGCATGGCAGTGAGTACCTGTAGTCCTAGGTACTTGGGAGGGTGAGGCAGGAGGATTGCTTGAGCCTAGGAATTTGAGGCTGCAGCGAACTATGATTGTGCCACTGTACTCCAGCCTGGATGACAGAGCGAGACCCTGTCTCAAAAGAAAAAAAAAGAAGAAATAAAAAGGAAAAGATAAAAGAGCTAAGCATCTGCTTCCTTTTTTCCATTTTCTGGGAGAGTATGTGTAAGACTGTAATTAACTGTTTCTTGAATAATGGGAGAACTCTGTAAAATAATCTGGCTTTGGTGTTACCTGTATTGGAAGGATGAAAAATACCAATTCAGTTTCATTATTGGTTGATAGGGCTACTCATGCTTTTTGTTTTGTTTTGTTTTGTTTTGTTTTTGAGAGGAAGTCTCTCTGTATTGCCCTGTTGTCCAGGCTGAGATGCAACGTTGTTCACAGGCCTGATCCTGGCTCACTACAGCCTCTAACTTCCGATCTCAATAGATCCTCCCGCCTCAGCCTTCCCAGTAGCTAGGACTACAAGCATGCAGCATCACATCCAGCCTCTTTTCCTGCCTGACCCAGTTCTGGTTTCCTTTAGTTTTCTAGGTGTTCATCCATTTTATCTAATGTTTAATGCATTTGGCATAAGGGTGCTCAGTGTCCTTTCATTGTCTGTTGTCTGTAACTGTTGCCATTTTCATTCCTATTTATGAGTACTGGCGTCTTCTCTCACTTTTTCTTAATAATCCTGCTGGAACTTTGCTTTTTAAAGAACATCTTTTGACTTGTTGATTCTTTTTTCATACATATTAACTATTTTCTTATTTTTTGCCTTTATATTTATTTCTTTTCCTGTTTGAAACATTGCTCTTTTCTTACTATAAAAATGGGTAAGTAGCTCATGAATTACCACCTCTTTTAAAAATCTTTTCTACTGTAAGCATTTTAGCAGTTTACATTTGCCCACAAGTACCACTTCAGCTACACCCTATGTGCTTTTACATAAAGTCTTCATTTTTGGTAAGACATATTCTCAAATTTTAATTATCACTTGTTTTTAAATCCATGATGTTTTATTTGAAATGTTGTTTCTAAAGATACATTTTCTGGTTATACTTTTATTCTTCTAATTTAGCACAGTGGCCACAAAACATGGTCTGTGCAGTGCATACAATCGATGAGTAATTTCTGAGCTGTAGTATTTGGCATAATATATGGCAAAATTTCCTAAGTTTTCCATGTGTGCTTTAAAAAACTTCCAGTAAAATACATAAATCTGTTAGATCAAGCTTCTCACATTGTTCAAATAGTCTATATGTTTACTGATTCATTTGACTGCTTGATTTATCAATTACAGGTAGGAATGTATTCAAATCTCCTATTAAAGTGTGACACTCAAGTGGCTTTTTAAAGACAGAGATGCCAAACCAATGAATACATGATTTTCCCCAAAGCCTGCACAAATTCTCTAATGAAATTTTACCATGAAAGTTTGTTTAATTAAGGCTTACTAAAGCAGTATGTTGTCTTTTACTTTTTAAACAGAGAATATATATTTTAATACATCGTTTAAGTTTATGATTAATTATCTATTACTGAGGATAAGAATCTTTGCCTGTGCTCATTCAGCATTTGCACTTCATTTATGATCTGCCTTCTCATAGCTTCTGTTAATTTTTATACTAGAGACATTTATTTGTTTGTATAAATGTTGAAGGTTTTTTTTTGTTGTTGTTGTTTTTGAGTCAGAGCCTCGCTCTGTCACCCAGGCTGGAGTGCAGTGGCATGATCTCGGCTCACTGCAGCCTCCATCTCCTGGGTTAAAGTGATTCTCCTGCCTCAGCCTCCAGAGTAGCTGGGACTACAGGCATGTGCCACCAAGCAAGGCTAATATTTTGTATTTTTAGTAGAGATGGGGTTTCGTCCTGTTAGCCAGGGTGGTCTCGATCTCCTGACCTCATGATCTACCTGCCTCGGCCTCCCAAAGTGCTAGGATTACAGGTGTGAGCCACCGTGCCCAGCTGGGTTTTTTATATTATAAGGAGATGTAATAGATAGATAGATGTTTCAAAGATAGTCAAATGTTTTTAAAATTTAAAACACTTTTTTACAGGTTGACTTTCACCATTTAATTTCATCTATGTGTTTTGCCTTAGAGAAATTTTAAATGCTATGTAGATCTCATGACTTATAATTATGAAGCATTTTGTTTTCTGTTTTCCACGAAACTTAGCTTAACTTTGAGCATATAATAGTTGTAAAGGTAGGAGAGTAACACTGAAAAAAGGAATTGCATTAAAATGGCACATTTTCTGTAGAGTTGTTTATCGCCTGAAAATAGGCCCCATTTCATGGAAGTAAGATGATCAGGCTCAGGTCCCCAGACGAAACTCTTGGCATGGTTTTTGGAGATAGTCCAGGGCTCAGTACTGGCTCTATCATTTGCTACTTCTCCCAAAGTAACCAATATCTCATCCACCCTGAGCCCATTTCCATATCTCTAACATGAGGATAATAGCATCTACCTTACACACCAAGTAGAGGGATCAAATGTAGGAACTAAATCAAAGTACCAGCACTGAATAACCTACATCCTCCCACTTCCCAAAAGGAAGAGAGATGTATCCCCTGTTGACAAACGAGACCATTTTGCAGGAGAGAAAGGAAATGCCAGTTCACTTGCAATGTAAACATGCTCTCTCTTTTTAGGGATGTCCAGGGACCTGAGAGAGAACCCATGCTTACCAAAGAGTTTCTAGTTCCAGACACACAGGACTAGAAGGGTGACAAGTATGGTTTTCAGGGTCCCTGAATCCACCCAGTCCTCACAGAAACTCCTAAAAGCTGTCGATTGACAGCGTTGAGTTCACAGCTCTGGTCCTCACATGCTGATACTGCTTGTGATATCGAACCCGACAGGACCCCACATCACAATTGATTTACCAACTACAATATAATACCTCCTGAATCTCCAAATTGGCTCACCCAGGAACAAAGGCTTGGGGTAAAACTGGATTAGGAGATATAAGCTCTGAATTTTCTGAGGGTGAGACACACAAGGATTCTAAGTGACACGCCACAGAGTAACGGGTCTGTGACTGGAGGACCCACAGATTTGTCTTACTGGAGACACCACATGCACACAAACTCCATCCTTAGCTGTGGAAACAAGGGTCTTTTGCTATCTTAGCCGAATTCTGGGAGTAATTTTTGGAGGGGAGGAGATCTTTGGGATTGCCTCTTTCAGGCCCTTTACAAAAATACCTACTTCTTAAATGGTAAAGCTTACACTAAACTGAAAAAATTACATCCTTGGCTTTTTATGAAGTAGGTGTTGGATTGAATCACTACTGGAAGAAGTATGGCATCGCAAATTCTAAGCAGTGGTCAAAGGATGGATCTGTTAAATTAGAAAAATCTCTAAATTTATAAAAAGATTTTAGATTCCTTTATTCTAAACAATTGACCTATTTGTACTCATGGGACAATCAAATTTCAAAGGAGATATGTAACGATTTCATGGCTTGCATTAAAAATCCTTCTGATAAAATTAAAGATAAAAAATCTGACCCCCTGCCAAAAAAATCTTTTGAAGTTCATACTGCCTGCTTTCAATATTCTGTGGGATTCACAATGAAAGGTGCCTTATATTGTGGCCTAGCTTCAAGTTTATGCCTTCGCCACCATGGCCTGGGTTCAATTCCCAGTCAGGGCCCCAGCGCCTTTGGTTTAATGTTTGCGTGGCATTTGACTTTTTTACCTATTTAGTATTGGTGAGATTACCTTTGGTAAAAAAAAGTTTAAAGAGTGGAAATCGCAATTCTTTGTGTTGGCTAAAATCTGATTATAAGAGATCTGGAAGGTTTTATTTTTCTTTTTCAAAGAGCTCTATGGTCAGAAGTCGGCTTCATGAAAAGCTAATATTTAATTATATGTACATACAGTCTTTCTGGATTTTCTCTTTTGCCTCCTGTTTTGAAAAATATTTGGATTTGAGTGAAACTCCGTTTTAGAAATTAATTGCTTGGTACAATATACCCATGTAACTACCCTGCACATGTACCCCCTGAATCTATAATAAGAGTTGAAATTTTGACAAAATAAAATTAGATTTTGAATTAAAACAAATAGGTGCTTGGTTCCTCTGCTCACTTCTTTTTAAAAGGAATTCCTCTCCCATGTACTTCTTCTTTTCCCTTCTTTACCTTCCTTTTGGCATCTTTGGTATCACATGAAGGGATCTAGAGGGAATTTTAAGTGACTCTGAAATTCCTTGAGAAATACACAAAAAGATCCCACTCACCCCTTTTGGGGGTCTCCTGTTCTCCTTGTGGAGTCCAGAGTCAGGGACAGGCTCCTCCAGGTCTGCAGCTCTGCTCTCTTTTATTTCATCTTGGCTGATTGCTTTGGTTTTGTGAGTACCAGGCATTACTTTGTACTGTGAGAGACACGTCCTTTGTGAGTGCAACGGCTGCTGGGTCACTGGTGAGGGCTGCAGTTTGGAGATGGCTGAGAGCCGTTGCAATAAATGGTTGTGATTGCAGGGGGCTCCTTGTTTCTTTGCAAGTTTAGATGAGAAAGGTGCAGTTTGGACACAGTTTAAAGGCTGTGAAAACACCACCAATGAATATGATTTCCTTTGGGGATGGTCTGATTAAAAGTGGGCTGATTGTTGCTGTGCTACTAGCCTTGAAGACATGTTTCTACAGCATTGTGCAGTGTGGAAAAATTGTGTGGCTTGGTCTTGTGGCATGTCCCTTCTTTTAGAGACCTCAGATTCAATGTGAAATTCGGGATTTTTGATTTTCAAAGATCTAGATGCCCTGCCTTCCAGATGTGCCTACTCTTCACATATTTTAAAATTAGATCCTATAAACTGCAAATACTTTGTTGGCTTCTGTGAGATCAGAGGTCCAGTTAGAAAAGGAAGACAGTTTGTTAAAATTAAAAACTATTTATCTAATCTAACTAGATTGGCCTCCAAATATGACTTTCTGACATTCAGCTGGTTACTCTGAAAAGATTTCTAAATCTCTTGAGGCTCATCTATATGTTTCCTTGCAAAGAAAAAAAAAAAAAAAAAAAAGCAAGCCCAAGCACTAGTAAGAAAAAGATTTGCAATGTTTCATGAAAGGAGTAGATGAGTGAAGCATTTATTTGTAGATACTGGGTTGGATACCTGTGCAAAGAAGAAGAGGTCAATAATAAAAATTGCCAGGGGATTTCTTGGAACTTAACAAGCTGAATTAAATATAGAAATGTCAGGAAATCAAGGCAGGAAATACTCACTTGTGGTTAGGCAGACAGGGCAGGGTTCTGAGCTTGAGATGGAGCAAACAGTTGTGGTGGGTGAAGTTCACATGCTTTAGAGCTCAGCTGTCCTAGTAAAGAAGCCTAAGAGTCTCTAAAGCTCTTATGAGAAGATGGATTTTTTTTGCCTAGATTAAAAGGTTAAAGAATTGCTTTAAGTTGGATAAAATAAAGCTAAATGTTTAAGCAAGTTGTGAAAGGTTTATGAAAAAATTAATTAAAATATTTTTGTGTGTAAACATATTGACTAAAGTTGAAGGGGTATAATTCAGCATTTCTGTAAATTGAGCATTGAAATAAAAACACAATGGGTTTCTCTTAGAGCACTAACCTGCTCTTTAACAAAAATTGTAAAGGGTTATAGAAAGTCTATAAAAATGTTACCTTATGGTCAAACATTAAAATTGGGTAAATATGTCTATCAGGTTTTATTAAGAATTAGGTTTAACATTAATAGTACACTAATGTAAAGGTGAAATTTGGCTTATTTGGTACAAAAATCATACAGGAAGCATTGTGAAATATAAAATGATTTTTAGCTTTCTTTGGGCTATATTTCTATAAATATGTTATTGATGAGGGTTCCAAAGTTATGGGAGACTCCTATAATTCTGCTATATCTCAGTGTACATTATCAGTCATAATTATAATTGTCATGTTAAATTATTGTGGGCCACAGAGGTAACAGATTTCCTTGTCAATTGTGTCTTTGACTATGACTACCCTAAAACGTTCAGTCACCCATATACACATGTTACCTTGTTTTGGCCCTCTTTAGAAGGTAATTTTATAATCAGCTATAAAGCCCTAACAGGTGCTCTTAAATGCAAATTTTGATAACTTTGGAGATTGTGACATCAGAAGAGAGGAAAAATGTTCGGGACACTTGGAGAGCTAAAATGTTCATTGATATCAAGCAGGACAGGAATTAACTGCATGAAGTGAACTAATAGGAGGCTGAAGTGATCTTTTTGACTTTTTGCTTAAAACGTTGCTGATCCTTTGTTTTGCTTTTCAGAGTCAAGGCAAATTTTCTTTTGAGCTATTGACAGCTTTTAACGATTAATCAAAATATACTCCTATGAACACCATTTGGAGCATTATTTGTTTCTCTCTACCCGATTTCCCCAGAATTTGGAAACTATTTGTGGGTATTCTTAATTTATGGCAATATAGTTATTTGCATAAGTGCAATAAGAATGTGTTTTCTTTGGTAACAGGACACAATTTGAAAAACTGGTTATTTTACCAAGGTTTTGACCAGAATGCTGTGCTTTCCTTTAAGGAATCAAACTTGACTTGTGGAGCTAATAAAGCCTTTGGAAAACTGACCTTATATCCTGTGAACACAGTCCCTGTACAGGGTTACTGATCTGTGGGAAGAAAAGAATGTCACATTCTGACAGGTCAGGAATCCCAAGTTATCTTGAAACTTCAAGAGGACAGGAATTCACCCAACCATATGTATTTGATGGTAGAAATCCATGGCAGGGGCTCAGCTTTAAAAAGTCTTATCTCAGATTCCTTCTATAAAACAAAGTCCCATTAAAACCAATTTTAAAAGCCTATGTGAAAAATAATTATTCTTGCTGCACCTCGTACAAATAAAGTGGCAAAGCATAATAAAGCAAATTGGTCCTGTCGTAATTTGTCTTTAGTAAAAACGGGAAACTGGGGTCGGGTGCAGTGGCTCACTCCTGTAATCCCAGCACTTTGGGAGGCTGAGGTGGGCAGATCATCTGAGGTCAGGAGTTCAAGACCAGCCTGGCCAACACGGTGAAACCCCATCTCTACAAAAATACAAAAATGAGCCGGGCATGATGGCGGGTGCCTGTAATCCCAGCTACTCAAGGGGCTGAGGCAGGGAAGCGGAGGTTACAGTGAGTCAAGATCGTGCCACTTCACGACAGCCTGGGTGACAGAGCAAGACTCCATCTCAACAACAACAACAAAAAAGGGTAACTGGAGAGAGGGAAGTTATGTTTCAAAAACTTTTGGAAACTATAGTACACCTGTTTTTAAATTCTAGTCTGGCATTCAGTTTTTATTATTTTCTACAGTTTGGGTTAAATTCGTATTTCTCTGGCTACAAGTCTCCTAAATAATCTTTTCATTTGTTTCCTTTTTCTTTCCCTTTTTCCCCATTTTTCTTAATTGGAAATCACTGAAACCTAAGCTGTGCTTTCTTAAAGCCCTGTGAACTGAAGACTAGACAACCGAAACTTCTGAAGGAAGTAGCAGCAACCTATTTATATGTGTTGCTGTTGCCTACTATTATGTTTTAGCAGGTGCTGCCTCTACACCCCCGAAACAGAGAGTGCTACTGGGAACAAATCGACTTTTTCCACTCCAGTGCTGCATTCGGTGCCCCATAACGATGACCCCCTCTCAGCAGGAAGTAGCCAGAAAGATTACAATGCTCCATCTCCCTATGATTCTTGTGATAAATAAATATACAAGCATGATAGAAATCATGCGCAAATTGACAGTGGGGATTGTGGCAGGCCAGATTTCACTAATGGAGGTCCCCATCACAACTACTTCAGTACTGACTGAGTGGTTAAGTTCAGTATCAAAAGCTGAAAGTGCCAGCGCCTTTCTACAAAGGCTAGAATGTAACAAAAGCCCACCAAGGGTTTTACCTAGGCCTTTCCTGGGCCTTACAGCATGACAAAACAAAGAAGGAATTCTTAACCAGACCTGTTTAGGATTAAACAAATTTAATTGGGGGTCTGAAGAAACTCGCCAGGCCTCCACAAACAAGTTCATTGGGGGTCTAAAGGAACCCCCCCCAAACCTCTGTGATTGAGCAGGAGACAAGGTCAGGGTAATAGCCCCAGCACCTGGACTCATTTAGATTTAAGTAAATGTACTGAGGCTCCAGAGAAAGGTCTCCAAGACTTAGACTAGAGTTACAGATTAAAAGAAGTTAATCACTTATATCTTTAGATAAATGCACACTGACACGTAGACATACATCTTAGAAAATATATAAGCTCTGGAAAACCTTGTAATTTACAGTTGGTCTGGAGATATTTTCTGGGCCTTCTCTCTGTAACCGGTTCCAGAAATAAAAAACTCTCTTCCTCCCCAGTTTATCTGCATCTCGTTATTGGGCCGTGAGAAATAGCAGCCAGACCCTGAGTTTGGTCTGGGAACACACTGGCTGGGCTTCCTGCCTGGCGGTAGAGCTTCACTGTCCTCCTTCCCAGCCAAAATGTGGCCCTTGAAGGCTTCCTCCCCAACTGACCGGTTTTGGGTTCTAGGTACTCAGGGAACACCGTCTTCAAGGAGGCCATTTTCATACTGTTCCTGGTTTGATTTTTCTGAAATTAGGAAATGCCCCTTGAGGCATCCAGGATTGTCTTTATTTCCCCTGAAGCTTCCCCTCCTGAAGAAAAAAGTTCTCAAACACCCTCAGGACTCAAACCCCAAGTTCACCCTGTGAAACATTCCCATTTCCTAAACCCAGGCAGGCTCATGGCCCTCAGCCTCTCAGACCCCATGGAAACCTCCTCCCCCACTTCACGGGTTCTCTCCATATTGAGAGCCTCCCCTGCTCGGCACACAACCCAGAGACTCACCCCAACATGTGTAGCAAATCACCCTGGAAACAATCATGGCTGAACGTGGTAGCCCATGCCTGTAATCCCAGCACTTTGGGAGGCCCAGGAGGTGGATCACCTGAGGTCGGGAGTTCGAGACCAGCGAGGCCAACATGGTGAAACCTCGACTCTACTAAAAATACAAAGTTCACTGGGCATTGTGGTGTGTACCTGTAATCTCAACTACTCAGGAGGCTGAGGCAGGAGAATCACTTAAACCTGGGAGACAGAGATTGCAGCGAGCCAAGATCGCACCATTACACTCCAGCCTGGGCAAGAAGAGTGAAACTACATCTAAAAAAAAAAAAAAAAAGGAAAAGGAAAAGAAAAAAAAAATCATGAGGCAACATTGCATTTAACAATATTTTATTTATCAAAAGACACTTGTCTTTCTCAGGTAAGTGAAGGTCTAGAGATGAAACGAGTCCCGATGTAAATTGCCCCATGGGCATTGCTGAGATCACAAGATCATCACTGCAGCATGCAGCACAATAGTAAATTTCTCAGGATGGAAGTTCAACAATCCAAAAGGTAGTATTTTTTTTCATGATGCTCAGTCCATCATACGAAATAAAAATAAATTCCTTTTCATGATCATCCATTCAGTAGAAAAAATGATAGTAAATTTGTTCTCATGAAGATTTTTACCGTAACATATAGGATTTATCGTTATTATTATTATTCTTTGTTTTTTGTTTTTTTGAAGCGGAGTCTCACTCTGTTACCCAGTCTGGAGTGCAGTCGTGCGATCTGGGCACACTATTAACCTCCACCTCCAGGGTTCAAGCATTTCTCCTGCCTCAGCTTCCCGAGTAGCTGGGATTACAGGCATGCGCCACCACACCCGGCTAATTTTCGTATTTTTACTAGAGATGGGGTTTCACCGCATTGGTCGAGCTGGATTTGAGCTCCGGACCTCGGGTCATCCGCCCATCTCAGCCTCCCAAAGTGCTGGGATTACAGGCGTGAGCCACCGCGCCCGGCCTCAATTTATCATTATTCACGCATCCACAAACTGGGTTCTTATATTTTGTACGTGATTTTTTCCATTGAGGAGAGATATCTGTGCATATTCATGCTGCTCATATTTCATCCACAAACTCGGTTCATATTTCATCCACAAACATAATTTTTTCCGTTGAGAAGAGATACTTGTACATATTTATGCTGTTCAAATTCACATTTCATCATTCTTTTACAAGAAATAGATAATGTATTTTAAGGTTTTCCAGTGGTATTACAGATATTTTACTGGGTGTATAGATAGAAATTAAACCAAACTTCTTTGTTCTGGCCGCCAGTCATGCATCCTGTTTTCAACATAGTTCACATACAACTGGTTGTGTAAAAATGAAATTATTTTGTTTAGTACAATCATCAACAGTTGGTTGATTAGATTTTTAATTATCAAGTTAATCATTGTCATTATGCTTCTCATCGCACTCGTCATTAATTGCTGTGGGAGGAAATTTGTTATGTTCCCTATGAGAGGGTGTATCACAAATTCAAATAAGAATTCAACGACAATGGACTGTATAAAGGAAATAAGCAAGTCCATGGAAAACATATTTTTTTCCGGAAAGGATTAAAATATTTTTAAAAAGGAATTAAAAAAAAATTGGGCACGGTGGCAAATGCCTAGAGTCCCAGCTGCTCAGGAGATGGAGACAGAAGGATTGCTTGAGCCCAGGAATAAGTTGGAGGCTGTAGTGAACAGTGATTCCACCACTGTACTCCAGCCAGGGCAATAGAGGGAAACCCTCTTTCTAAAAAGACAAAAAGAAACAAAACAAAACAAAAAAACACCACATCAAAAAACCCAACAACAAAATGAAAAACCAAATAACAGCAATACAATTGGAGCTATTCGATCCAAAGAAGTAAATGAAACATAAAGCAAATAAAAGAGAAAAGCTAATACCTGTGTCCTGCAGGACTCAGTCCAAGTTCTGCTCTGACTCCCTCCTGGTGAGCCACCCCTTAAAAAGTCACTTGGGGCGGGGTTACTTTGACAGACAGTCTTCTGTCAAAGAGGGAGGCGGTAAATAGCACTTTTTTTTTTTTAATTTAACGCCTTTCCAACAAATTAGCGGCTATGTTGTCTAAGAGTGCAAATGTCAGAGGTGGGTACAGGCAGCAAGACCCTCCCCACAGGGGCAGCAGAAGGAGGAATGACTAAGGGAACAAGACTTTAGTGTGCTCAACTACACAGGACAGGAAACAGATGCTTTTTACAAAAGCTGGTGGACTTGAAGGCAGAATATTTTCAAGTTCCTGTAACTGCGAACTATGACCTGTAGCCTGTGAGAGTGACTTTCTGTGGCAAAGGAGCTTTTGTGAATGTGAGGAAGTTAATTATCTTAACAGTGGGAGGTTCTCCCGGCTTATCTAGCTAGACCCTCGTGAAATCCCAAGTGTCCTTAGGAAGGGGAAGCAGAGAGAGATTTGAGTCCAGAAGAGGAAGAAGGTGATGTGAGGCCCAGTAGGGGAACAAAGGGCGATGGCATGTAAACACTTAGCCCCCAGAAGTGGGAGAGGGCTGGGGTTCATCACACCAGAATCCCTAACAATCAGCCTTATTTTAATTACCCTTGAAATGGAAGGAGGCCTTAGAGAGCCAGAGGCTTGGAGGGGCACCCTCTGCTGCATACACAGATCCCAACTGCTGTGGGCTCCAAATAATTGCACCAGGGAAATCACAAATTATCAAAAATAAAGGATGTAAAGCTTTTAAAAAATATTAAAAGCCCAACAAATAAAAAAAGTTCTAAATCTATAAAATTGACCTCAGTCTGTATATTTAGATGAGTCATGTGTATATAGCGTTTCACTTCAAAATATATGATAAATCTCTCATTCATTGGCTTAAAAATAAACACTTCAATCAAGTCTTTATCAGAAAAATTGAAACGTTAACTCAATTGCCTTTTAGTTCATGTGACTTTACAAAACTTAAAACAATAAAGTCAGTTTTAAAAATTATTAGTAAAGTAAAAGAAAAATATCTTCACAATGTAGACATTTTGTCCACATGAGACATGTGAAATATTGCCATTACTAAATATTTGCAGGTCAAAAACTGTTTCCAAAACATTTTAAATAATCATCTGGCCTGTCTGTTTTAGAGCATTCAATTCTAGCTGAGGTCTGGGGACATGTGAAAGGAGCCACGGCCCGACTCCGTGCTGGGAAGAGTCAGACATTTTCCACAGCTCTGTCCTTTGCTGTGGGCTCTGCAACTCCTACCAATTAAAATTGCTTACGTTTTTGTTTTATTTTTACTAAAGAGGGGTTCCTAAAAGCTAACATTATACTGAGTATATGTAACTAAAACTACTAAGAAAACAATTTCACAATTATACAAATGTGCCAAGTAAATGAAAAAATAAACTGTATTTTAATAAAGGTTATAAAAAGAAAAACATATAGTGGTGTGAGGACTGTCTCAGGTCTTCACTGAGCAAGGGATCATGACATTCTATGGCGGACAGCTGACCTTGGCTTTCTGCTCCTCTTGATTATGTCTACTAAGTGACATACTTACTCTTTTTCCACCTGTCTTGCCTCTAAGGGTAACAGGTTTTATGAGATCCCTCCTAGTGCTTTGCAGGTCAGCCTCCCTTTGCTGCATTCCAATTTTACTGCCTATACCCTCCAGCTGGCTTTTGATGACAAAAGTCCTGGTCCCAGCCATTCTCAGATTCTGTCATCCCCGTGGGCACTATGGAGCTCAGCACTATGGGAGGTTCCCCAAAAATCTCGTTTTCTATGAGGAATGGCCACCACCTGCATCTCAGTGATGCTAGTGACCCCTTTCCTACTCCTGTGCTCACTGGTCCTCATGAAGATCCTGGTTGGTCTGTAGCCCCCTATTTTTCCTATTAAAGAGAAATTACAGTAAGACCAATTTGTGTGCAAAATCAATTTTAGGCTTATTACACTTGGCCTGATAATTTGCATAAAATGCAGCAAGAATTCATCGGCCATATAGGCTACTTTTGAGTTAATTTTCCTGGGTTTTTACCTAAAAATATACTATTTTGGTTAGAGTCTTGTGAAAATAACCAATGTGTTCAATTGTTTTATTTTAAAAGGCTCTTACTGAACACTATAAATATGTATAAGTTGAATATACAAACTATATTGTCATAAAATCACAACCCAAAATGTGGAGAACGCAGAGGGAAAGGTAAATTTGCTCGCAAAAACATACTTCACCCAAATAACTGGAAAAAAAAAAAGACTTTCATGACCCTTCTTTAACCAGAGCAGCAGCTTTCAAACAAGATGTTTGCCTTGGAAATGCCATTCACAAGCCAAACGGCCCTTGAGAGCTGTCTGTCAGGCACTGTAGAATCTAGCAGCTCCTCACAGAGTTAGAAATAGTTTCAGGAAAGAGATTCCCTGCTTTTAGTAACTGCACTTTATATTCCCAGATAGCGAGATTGTATGTAAACCATTTTTATCTTATTCTGGAACTCTTTTGGGTACTTTTTTTTTTTTTTTAAATGATGGAGTCTGGCTCTGTTGCTCAGGCTGGGGTGTAGTGGTGCGATTTCAGGGTATGAGAAAATGCAGCTGGACCTGGCTCTTTCCAGGAAGACCCTCACAGCCAAGGAGTCCAAAGCCTGGGGTTTTCATCTAATTCCAGTGTGACTGGGGTAGGAGCAGCTTTGGTGCTGGGTGTGTGTGTGTGTGTGTGTGTGTGTGTGTCTATGCCTGTGTCTGTTTAGGGTGTTAGGCTCGTGGTTGTCTAGATACAAATGTCCCAGGGCTCAGGAGCCCCAGGGTTATGTCAGGGGCACCAGATGAAGGTGTCAACAGAAGTTAGGGCACAAGGGACAAAGGTGAGAGCAAGGTTAGATTCATTTAGGTGCAAGAAATCATAGAGGGAGGAGGGAGAGGAAGGCCTCCTGCTACCACCGAGGAAGAAGCGCAGCTTAAGGCAGAAAGCCTGTCCGGAGAGGAAGTGAGTTTGAGGGCAGGGCTCTCTGGGTAAAGTACGGTCTGGGACACCAGCCTGGGGGAAGGGTACAGAATGCAGAGTGGCCTGGCGTGGGGACTAAGAACAGAGGAGAGCAGCTTTCACTGGGAGGGTCAGTGTTTTCAGTGTCCAGCACTGAGCAAGGTGAGATTTGGGCAGCTTGCTGTGAAATAAGGTCAGGCTCTGGCATTGTCCCCATTGCGTGTGTGTGTGAGGGGCACTTTGGGAGAGTGAACTCTCCACCTCCATCCTCTCATACGTCCTTCAACCGAGCTTGCCAGTTACCCTGATTCCAAGGAGATCTATTTATTGTTGACAATACTGGATCCTAGCAGAGGCTGGGTAGGAGCCTGGGCACAAGCAAGTGGAGGAGGGGGCCTGGGCCTGAAAGACCTGGGAGGTTTGAGAGAGGACACAGCCCACAGAATGGAGCAGATGGGGTAGAGTCGGCAAGCATTCAGGGCTCCTAGTAAGTTGGACAATGGAGACCCTGAAAGATCCAGTAAAACGGGGAGAACAAACAGGTCCCCAACTCACATCCTTGCAGTGCCTGGAGCTTCAGACTCCAGACAGGTGGGGAAGGAAAATTGAGGGATGTGAACATGTTGGAGAATGTCGTGCCCTGAAGAATGAAGAAAAGGGGGGTGAGGAATGAGAGCAGGAACGGCTTCCAGTGCCTGGTGCCCAGGAGAACTCAGAAAATGGGTGTGGTGGAGAGGAATCGAGGAACCGGAAGTGGTGGAAGTGTGCAGGGCCCCTCCGAGATCACTGTGACTGCCAGGCGTCCTCCCTGGCTGGAGAGCTTCACTGTCCTCCTTCCCAGCCAAAATGTGTCCCTTGAAAGCTTCCTCCCCAATGGACTGGTTCTGGGTCCTATATATTTGAAGGGGTGGCCTGCCTCTCCACACCTGTGGGTATTTCTAGTTGGGTGGGAGGAGAGACAGAGAAAAGAAATAAGACACAGAGACAAAGTATAAAGAAACAACAGTGGGTCCAGGGGACCAGCACTCAGCACACCAAGGGCCTGCACCGGCACCGGCCTCTGAGTTTCCTCAGTTTTTATTGATTATTATTTTCATTATTTCAGCAAAAAGGAATGTAGTAGGAGAGCAGGGTGATAATAAGGAGAAGGTCAATGAAAAACATGTGAGCAAAAGAATCTATATCATAATTAAGTTCAAGGGAAAGTACTATGCCTGGACGTGCACTCAGGCCAGATTTATGTTTCTCTCCACCCAAACATCTCAGTGGAGTAAAGAATAACAAGGCAGTATTACTGCAAACATGTCTCACCTCCCGCCACAGGGCAGCTTTTCTCCTATCTCAGAGTTGAACAAATGTACAATTGGGTTTTACACCGAGACATTCAGTTCTGAGGGGCAAGCAGGAGACAGTGGCCTTCCTCCATCTCGACTGCAAGAGGCTTTCCTCTTTTACTAATCCACCTCAGCACAGACCCTTTATGGGTGTTGGGCTGGGGGACAGTCAGGTCCTTCTCATCCCATGAGGCCATATTTCAGACTATCACATGGGGAGAAACCTTGGACAATACCCCGCTTTCAAGGGCAGAGGTCCCTGCGGCTTTCCACAGTGTATTGTGCCCCTGGTTTATTGAGACTAGAGAATGGCAATGACCTTTACCAAGTATACTGCTTGTAAATATTTTGTTAACAAGGCACATCCTGCACAGCCCTAGGTCCCTTAAACCTTGATTTCATACAACACATGTTTTTGTGAGCTCCAAGTTGGGTCAAAGTGGCTGGGTCAAAGTGGCTGGGGCAAAGCTACAAATTAACAACATCTCAGCAAAGCCATTGTTCAAAGTACAGGTCTTTTTCAAAATGGAGTCTCTTATGTCTTTCCTTTCTACATGGACACAGTGACAGTCTGATCTCTCTTTCCTTTCCCTACATATATTCATGGACCACAGTCTTCAAGGAGTCCATTTCCTCACTGTTTTTGGTTTGATTTCTCTGAAATTAGGAAATGCCCCATTGAGGCACCCAGGATTGTCTTTACTTCCCCCAGAGCTTCCACTCCTGAGGCAGGAGCTTCTCAAACACCCCCCAAGACTCAACACCTAATTTCACCCTCTGAAACCTTCCCATTTCTTAAATCCAGGCAGGGTCATGGTCCTTAGCCCCTCAGATGCTGTGGAGACCTTCTTTCCCTTTCATACATTCTCTCAAGATTAAAAGCCACCCCTCCTCAGCACACACCCCAGAGACTCACCCCAACATGCATTGCAAATCACCCTGGAAACAGTCATAAGACCACACTCATTTAATAATATTTTATTTATCAAAAGACACTCTTTCTCAGGTAAGTGAAGTTCTGGAGAGGAAAAGAGGAGTCCTGATGTAAATTGCCCTGCAGGCCTTGCTGAGATCACAAGGAGATTGTTACTGCAGCTTGTAGCACAATAGTAAATTTCTTCTCTGGATGGAAGTTCAACAATCCAGATCGTAGTATATTCCTTTTCATTATGCTCAGTCCAGCAAATGTGATGATAACAAATTCCTTTTCATGATCATCCATTCAGCAGAGAAAATGTTTGTAAATGTGTTTTCATGAAGATGTTTACCATAACATACAGGATTTACCATTATCAATGCATCCACAAACTCTGCTGTTGTTTTTTATACATAATTTTTTCCATCGAGAAGTGATAGTTGTACATATTCATGCTGTTCATATTTCAACCACAAACTCTGCTGGTTTTTTTATACGTAATTTTTTCCATTGAGAAGTGATACTTGTACATATTTGTGCTGTTCATATTTCATGTTTCATCATCCTTTTACAATAAATAGGTTATATTGTATTTTAAGTTTTTCTAACTGTAGTGCAGAAATTGTACTGGGTGTATACATAGATATCAAACCAAATTTACTTGTTCTGGCTGATAATGCATCATTTATTTCATAGATTATGTATTTCTTTGACACATTTCACGTACAACTAATTGCATAAAAATGAATTTTCTTTTAGTATAGACATCAGCATGTGCTTAATTCGGAATTTAATTGTCGAGTTAAACATCGTCATTGCCTTTTCCGTTGTTATTAATTGCTCTGGTGGGAATTTTGTTATCTCATACATAAGACAGTGTGCCACAATATCTCTTAAAATTTCAATGGCAATAAACTTTATATTTAAAAACAGGGAATCTATGGAAAACACATTTTTTTCTAAAGGATTAAAATATTTTTTTAAAATAATTTTCTAAAAAGTTAGGCACGGTAGCAAATGTCTAGAGTCCCAGCTACTCAGGAGGCTGAGACAGGAGGATTGCTTAAGCCTACGAGTTGGGGGCTGCAGTGAACTGTGATTGCACCACTACATTCCAGCCAGGGCAATAGAAGTTAACCCTTTTTCTAAAAAAAAAAAAAAAAGAAAGAAAGAAAGAAAAAAAGCAACAACACCAAAACCTCACCAACAAAATGGTAAAGAAAAAAAAAACAGCAATACAATGTAAGCTATTTGATCCAAAGAAGTCAATGAAATTTAAAACAAATGAAAGGGAAAAAGTAATACTTGAGTCCTGCAGGACTCAGTCCAAGTTCTGCTGTGCCTCCCTCACGGTGAGCCACCCCTTTAGAAGTCACTTGGGTCATAAGTTAACCCGATAGGAAGTGTCCTGGCCAATGAACTAGGGAGGTGGTAAATGGCACCATTTTAAATTTAAATTCACGGCCTTTTCAACGGATCAGTAGCCATGTTGGGTAAGAGTGCAAATGTCAGAGGTGAAAAGAGGCAGCAGGACCCTCCCCTAGTGCTTGGGCAACAGAAGGTGGAATCACTAAGGGGACAAGACTTTAGCATGCTCAAGTACACAGGACAGAAAACATGCTTTTTACAAAAGCTGGTAAATATGAAGAGGGAACATTTTCAAGTTCCTGTAACCAAGAACTACCGCCTGTAACCGGTGAAAGTGACTTTCTATGGCAAAAGCGTTTTTGAAAAGGTGAGGAAGTTAAATATCTTAATGTTGGGAGGTTCTTCTGGTTTATCTGGCTAGACCCTAATGGAATCCCAAGTGTCCTTATGGAGCGGGGAGCAGAGAGAGAGATTTGAGTCCAGACGAGGAAGAAGGTGATGTGAGTCTGGGTGCGGGACAGGGGGAGAATGATGCTATGTGGGGATCTGGGCTGGGGAATGACTTAGCTGCATGAGCGGAGTGACTTAGACTCCTGAACTAGAAGAAATCTAGGGCTCATCACCTCAGCAGCCCTAACCATCAACCTTATTTTTATTACAGGTCTTCCATCGACGGACTCCCTAAAAAGCCAGCGGCGTGGAGGGGCGCCCTCTATTGGACAAATAGATCTTGACTACTTTCGGCCCTCAAATAGCCTGACTAGGCAAATAACAAATAATAATAATTTTTTTTTAAATCATGGAAAATATTTTAAAAAACAATTAAAAAGTTATAAATCTATAAAATCTGCTTCTGTCTGTGTGTCTGTATATTTAGATGTCTCATGTGTACATAATGTTTCACTACCAAAATATATGATGAAACCCTCATTAATCGGCTTAGAAAACTAAACACCTAAATATTTTCTCAGAAAATACAAAAACTTTAACTCAAATCCCTTTTAATTCACCTGACTTTAAAAATCTTTAAAAAATAAAGCATGCTTTAAAATTATTAGTAAAGTAAAATTAGAACATCTTCAGAATTTAGACATTTGGTTTAAATTATACAGGTCAAATACTGCCCTTAGTAAATATTTTCAGGTCATAAACAACTCCTGTAATCTTTTAAATAATTGAATTACATGTCTGTTTTAGAGCTTTAAGTTCTAGCTAAAGCCTGGGGACAAATGAAGGGCACCATGCCCCCTCTCTGTGCTGGAAAGAGACATTTTCTACAGCTCTGACCCTTGCAGTAGGCTTTGCAACTGCTACCTATCAAAATTGCCTACATCCTAAGTTTATTATTAAAAGGAGTTGCTTGGAGTTAACATTATAATGAATATATGTAACTAAAACTATTTCTCATACAAAGTATATGAAAAAGTAGAATGTATTTTTAATAAAAAGTTATAAAAAGACATGAACATATAGTTTTTATAAAAAACAGTAATTTTGTCTAGTTTTGCAGTTCTAAAAAGTTATGTTAAATTCAAAAATAAAAAATAACAAGACAAGACTCAAGGTTTAAATAAGTTGTAAAAGATTTGTAAAAATTAGTTCTATAAAAATTTTACAAAAAAAAGCATTGGTTAAAATTTAAGGAATTATTTTGTTTTTACAGAAATTAAACATTCATTAAAAACACTCTGATACAAGGCCTTAATTTGGGTTCATGTATCAGAATAGCAGGGTTTTCTTAGAATATTAATCTATTCTTTAAAAGAACTATGAATGTTATGCAAACTTTATAAAAATCTTACCTTAGAGTCAAACTGATTAAAATTCCATAGATTTTACGTAAAATTTTATTAAAAATTAACTTCAACAAAAATAAAATTTGATTTTCTCCTTTAAACAAAAGTTTTGCGTAATATTAAATAATAAAGCATTTTTGTTTACCTTTTAAACTATAAACACACACACACATACACATACACCAACACTAAAGTCAGCTGACCTCATACTGTCTTTATTGGATATTCTTGTTTAAAAAACTATCTTCTTTGGAAAATAAAGTTTTTTATTTTAAACCATATTTTAAATTATCATTTTGACTAAATCCATAACATACAGTGATCTGTAATAATTCTATTTTATAATATCAAGTGTTTTGAAGAACTCCAGGAACAGCCATGAGAGAACACTGTGGTTTAGTAACACTTTATTTCCTCAGTTTGAAAATAGTTGTCTTTCTTGGGGAGGCCGGTTTCAGCAGATGAAAACAAGAGTCATGATGAAAATTACCCAGCAGTGGTTAGTGTGACCATAGGAACATTGTCATCAGGTCAGCAGAAAACATATCAGCAAATTTTTCTCATACTGGCAGTGTGTAGGGGTGGATGTTTACAGTTCCTGAAGCCCCAGTGGTCGTGTGGTCTTTTAGTTTTGCCATTTATAGGCAACTTGTGGTAACTAGCTCAATTAGACACATTCCTTATCACAAGGACAGAGGGCTTTCTGTATCCTAGGGTTCTTGCCTTGGCATTCCAGAAGAATCAGGTCACACGTGGACGTGGAGAATGAGTGCAAGGTTTTATTGAGTGGAAGTAGCTCTCAGCAGATGGGGGAGCCAGAAAGGAGATTGGTTTCTCCCTGGATTGGGGCCGTTCAGCAGCCCTGGCTCTCCTCTGACTGCCCCAGGCAAAATCCACATCGTTCTATAAGTCGGTGCCCTGCTGGTGTGCTGGTGCCTGTTGTCATGTTCCTCTTCATGTCCAGCCGCCTGTGTGTTCCTCCGCTGATGTGCTCCTCTCGACGTCAAGCCTCCTGTGTGTCTGACTGCTAGGGTCTTGGGGTTTTTATAAGCACAGGATGGGTCTTAGCAGGCCAGGATGATCTTGGGAAAGACAACATTCGGTCAGGAAAACAAAAATGCCTGTTGTCATCTAGGTCCGTGGGGACAAGCCCAGGTGTGGAGCTTTTAGCCAGGGACCACAGCCTCCTGTATCCAACACTTCCCTTCACCTTTTCTATATCATTCAAAGGGATCATGCCCTTCCCATCCCAGCACTTCACTTTCATGTCATTTGCCCCCTCTGAAGAGGTACATCTAACTGCCATTAGAATATGGATGATGACCAGTCTTAGCTGCTTCCTGCTGAAAGGGGGCATTGTTTTGGGGGAAAACGGCAGTCAGATTCCTCCCAGGGGTCTCTATAATAAAAGATCGAGGTGGCTACTTTCAGGAGGTCCTCTAATGTACTATCTGGTCCCAAGTCCCATTTCTGCAACCTCCTCCTGATGTCAGGAGCTGCCTGAGTAATAATTTTATCCTTTAGGATTATCTGTCCCTCGATTGAATTAGGAGATAGAGAGGTGTGATTTACCAAGGCCTCTCTTAGCCTCTCCAGGAAGGCAGTGGGATTTTCATCAAATCCCTGGTTAATTATGGACAACTTAGTATAATTGAGAGGCTTGGTCTTAGACCTACGTAAGCCCTCTATTATGCACACCTGAAAGTGTCTCCTCTTCCAGTCTTCCATCTCATTATTGGGATCCCATTTAGGGTCCTTCACTGGTGCTACTTCTCTTCCAGTTGGATAATATTCGCTCCCTTCCCTGATGCTATAGGTGATGCAAAGCTCATCCCCAAATCTCTCTGCTGCTGGCAGAGCAGCCTGCTTCTCAGTGTCTATCAGGTTCTGACTCAAAAGTAACATAACGTCTCTCCAGGAGAGTTCAAATGTTAGGGTGAAATTCTGGAAAGCTTCTATATATCTATCAGGTTCATCTGAACACTTGCCCAGATCTCCCTTAATTTGCTTTAAGTCTTGTAGGGAAAAGAGGACTTGGACCTTACTGGGCCCAAATTCACTGGGCATCTGTAGGAGGGGCAAGAGTGAGACTGGGCTTGTTTGGGATGAAGATTTCTAGGAGGGGCCAGGTGAGAGGCTGAAGCTGGATACGGAGGTTGGGGTGGACCCAGAGGAGCAGGGCTTGAGGGAGCTGGCACGTCAGCTGGGGGTGCGTCTGGGACTCGTGTCTTTAATTCCCTGGGCTTGACCCTGGCAGCCTTCCCCGAGACAGCAAACAGGAGGGCTGGAACAATCCTACATGTCAGCAAAGGTCTGGATTGCTTTGCAAGGTATAGAAAGCCTGCACATTTGGGGCCTCAGACCATGTGTCCTCACATCCAGAGAAAAGTTCTAATTGCAGGATGGTATTGAAATGAATGGTCCCTTCCTGAAGCCAAGCCAGTCCTTCCTGTAAACCATAATTTGGCCAAACCTATGTGCGGAGGGCTATGAGACGCTTTTCCTCTGGATTCTGAGGGTCAAAACAGTCCCAATGGTTCAGGATACACTCAAGGGGAGTACAAGCTGGGGGTGGTGAGGAGAACTGGCTGCCCATTCTGAAAGACAGGGAATAGAGGTGTTCCTCATTTCCCTTCCTTCTTTTGGCAAAAAGCTCAGGGTGTGATGGGGAGGGAAAGCAAGCATCTTCACTTCACTTTCCACCTCTTACCCCTGCGCCCTGGCAACCTTGGCAGGTGCCGGCCACAGGTACAAATGCGGTATGTACCCATGAAGCAGGGAGAACCTGGAGATTAGGAATTAACTGCCCTCACCTATGTTTCCTTTTCTCCCTGCTGTTGAAAAACTTTGAGTTCCCTGGGCCTTTTTATCCCATGAGGCATGGCCTCCTTCTGTGGGATGGGGTTCAGTCAGCAGGAATTGGTCCTGTCCATTTACATTGTGCCTGTTGCCTGGCTTTGAATTCCTCAGACCTGCTTTCTCTTTCTAGGGCCTCAGCCTGAAGCTTGGAATTGAGTTTGGGACTGAAAAAGCATTTCAGAGGCTGTTTATATCCATTTAGTGCCTCAAATAAGCCCTGCTGAATTTGCAATTATCAGCCAGCAGGGGTCACTCCTCTGTTAACTTCCCTATTAGAAACAGAGCGGTGGGGATTCTCACTTAGAAAAGAAAAAAAGAGAAAAACAGTTAAAGAGGCAAAAAGTGGGGAATGCTGGGGGAAGAACCCCTTGCTTAGTGCAAGTGGGCCCCTCTAATCCTTATAACTTTCCCATCCTTCCCCCAGTTCAGACCAGGTTGAATTCCTTGGCCATGGAAGGAAAGGTTCCATTGATGCAGTGGGGGAGAAGCACTCTGTAGGGTCCTGGCTACCATCGGTTTTCTCACACCCCCCTCATCCCAGGCAGTGGAGGGAGACACTTCTGCGACATTGCTCCCCCTGCCCCTTCATGGCTATTGGGTGTGGCCTTTGCCTGCTGCAGGCATGCCTAGGTGCTGGAGCTGGGAGGGAAAAGGGTAAGGAGAGGTGCCCTGGAAGCCGCTCATGCCTGGGGCTGTCAAGGTGGAGGCATACATGGCACCTCTAGGAAAAATTGGTCTGATTTGCACCTTTGGCGGCTGAGCCAAATGCTCATTTTACTTAGTAACATTGCCTCAGCCTGTAGCAAAACTCTTAACATTATAAAGGAAGAGATAAGATCCATTTCAAATAATGTGTGAGAGAGAAAAGAGATGAAAGGAAAACAGAGTCTTTTACCTGCAGGAAAGGGAGAGAAGTGGCAGAGTTTTGGAAGAAAGGCAGGCCCAACAGTTTCCCATTCACTCACACTCACCTTCCGAGATCCCAGACGAGCCACCAGTTGAAATGGGAAAAGTTTCCTTGTCCCCCTCACAGGAGGTGGAGTGGGGGTGTGGCTTGCTTCTTTAGTACTCCGCTGCTCAAACCTCTAGGGAAGCATACAGACTGGCAAGTTGTGGGGCTACAACCCCATGGCAGCATCTAGGGGTAGATGTTTACAGCTGCTGAAGCCCCAGTGGACATGTGGTACCATGTGCTCTTTTAGTTTTGCCATCTATAGGTGGCTTTGTGGTAACCAGCTCAATTAGACCCATTCCTTAACCCAAAGACAGAGGGCTTTCTGTAACCCGCGGTTGTTACCTAGGTGTACCAGAAAAATCAAATCACACGTGGTCTTGGAGAATGAGTGCAAGGTTTTATTGAGTGGAAGTAGCTCTCAGCAGATGGGGGAGCCAAAAGGGAGAATAGTTTTCCCCTGAAGTCGGGTTATTCAGCGGCCCAGGCTCTCCTCTGGCTGCCCCAGCCAAACTCTATGTCAATCCATTGGTCGGTGGCCTGCCAGAGTGCTGGTGCCTGTTGGTGGATTCCTCTCAGCGTCGAGAGTTTTTCCCTCTCAGGAAAGGGAGAGAAGTGGCAGCCACCCATGTGTTCTTGCACTGATGTGCTCCTCTCGACGTCCAACCTCCTGTGTGTCTGCCTGCTAGGGTCCCAGGGTTTTTTTAGGCACAGGATAGGGCATGGTGGGCCAGGGTGATCTTGGGAAATGCAACATTTGGTCAGGAAAACAAAAATGCCTGTCCTCATCTAGGTCCAGGGGCACAAGCCCAGGTTTGGAGCCCTAGCCAGGGACCCCGGCCTCCTCTACCCATCACTTTCCTTCACCTTTTCCGTATCATTCAAAGGGACCATGCCCTTCCCTTCCCAGCACTTCTCTTCTGTATCAATAGGTGATGTTTTTAAAATTTCCCAACTCTAGTGCAGGCATGGTACTAGACATATACATAGAAATAAAACCACACTTATTCTTCTGGCTGGCAAGACATAGTATTTTTGCCAAATTATGTGTTGTTTTGAAGCATTTTATGTACCCCTGGTCATATAAAAATAAAGCTATTTTGTTCAGTACAAACAGCAGCATTTTCTGGATTAGAAAGTTAATCATCTTAAAAGATCATCACGGATTTTTCCATTGCACTCATCACTAATTGCTTTGGCAAAAAATTTCTTATCTCACGCATGACAAAATCAGCCGCAGTATCTCCTAGTAATTTAATGGTGATGATCTTTATAAAGGAAATAAGCACATCAAGGGAAAACATAATTTTTTTTTAAAAAAAGAGTAATAAAACTTTTTAAAAGTCTTTTTTAAAAGACTGCTTTTCTAAAATAGTAAAATAAAACTCCACCAATAAAACCACCAACAAAACAGAAAAGAAAAAATAATGATATGATCGGAGCTATTTGATGAAAGATGGTAAATTAAATTTAAAATGATTAGAAGAGAAAAAGCAATACCTGTCTCCCGTAGGTCTCAGTCCAGGTTCTGCTATGCCTTTCTCCTGGTGAGCCACCTATTTAAGAGTCGCTTAAAGCATATGTTAATCCAACAACAGCAGATTAAAAACCAATGCAATCTGAACTATTTGATCTAAAAACATAAATAAAATTTAAAACAAATAAAAGAGAAAAAGCAGTACCTGTGTCCTGTAGGTCTCAGTCCAAGATCTGCTCTGACTCCCTTGTGGTGAGTTAGCCCTTTAGAAGTCACTTGGGGTGGGGCATATGTTAATTCCACTAACATTGGTTCTGGCCAATGAGTCAGGAAGGTGGTAAATGGCACCTTTTCTTCTTGCTGATTTCTTTCAGTTCCTTTGGAGTCTGGACATTAGTCCTTTGTCAGATGCCTAGTTTGTGACTACTGTTTCCTATACTGTGGGTTGTGTGTTTACCCTGCTGATATTTCTTCTGCCTTGCAGAAGATTTTCGGTTTCATTAGGTCCTATTGATCTTATTCTATTTTTATATTTTTGCGTTTGCTTTTGGGGCATTAGTCATGACTACTTGGCCTAAGCCAATGTCTAGAAAAGCTTTTTGGATGCTATCTTGTAGCATTTTTAGACTTTCAGGTCTTAGATGGAAGTTTTTATATGCTTTGTTAAAGATCAGGTGACTGAAAGTACCGGGCTTTGTTTCTCGGTTCTCTATTCTGTTCCATTGCTCTATGTGCCTATTTTTATACTTCCTGCACCATTTATTGAATAAAGTGTCCTTTCCCCAATTAGTGTTTTTGCATACTTTGTTGAAGATTAGTTGTCTGTAAGCATTTGGCTTTATTTCTGGGTTCTCTATTCTGTTCCATTGCTCTATGTGCCTATTTTTATACTTCCTGCACCATTTATTGAATAAAGTATCCTTTCCCCAATTAATGTTTTTGTGTACTTTGTTGAAGATTAGTTGTCTGTAAGCATTTGGCTTTATTTCTGGGTTCTCTATTCTGTTCTATTGCTCTATGTGCATATTTTATACCAGTATCATGCTATTTTGGTGATTGTAGCCTTGTAGTATAATTTAAAGCCTGCCTTCAGATTTGTTCTTTTTGCAAAGTATTGCTTTGGATATGCGGTCACGTTTTTGGTTTTGTATAAATTTTAGGATTCTTTTTTCTAGTTCTGGGAAGGAGAATGATGATATTTTGATGAGAATTCTACTGCTCTGTAGATGGCTTTGGAGAGTATGGTCACTTTCACAATATTGATTCTACCTATTCATAAGCTTATAATGTGTTCCCATTTGTTTGTGTCAACTGTGATTTCTTTCAGCACTATTTTGTAGTTTTCCTTGTAGGAAACTTACATTAACCTACTTGGTTAAGTATATTTCTAAGTATTTTACTTATTAAAAATTCTCAGGGAAATGCAAAGTAAAACTGAGGTGGGAAATTAAAGAAAAATAAAATTAAAAAGAAAGGGAAATAAGCTTTCTTGTATTAAGCTAACTTGTCCCAGAGGCAGCAACAGGCACAGCCCAGACCCAGGAAAAGTCTTGATAATATTATTTATTGTATTCTGGAGACTCTTCCAGCACTCCTTCAATGTAGGGAGAAGAAAAACAAATTTTCCTTTGTTTTATGGTATGAGTTTATAGATTCTTGTTCTCTTTAACTAGTAACTTCAAGTATTCTGTTTTATCTAAGAAGTATGGCAAAGGTCATGAGAAGCCTGAGCAGGCCTGAACTACAGCTCTCTAGGCACCATAGTGAAGATAAACCAATGCAAGCCTCTTTAGAGCAAAACCTAGATAATAGACATCTGGGTTGCATAGCAACAGTTATGTGCAATCCTGAATTATGAACCTGTTACAATTTGATTAACTGTCTTTTTCCTGCCTCTGTATCCCTGCTTTCACACCACTGTAAGCTTGCTTCAAGCTGGCCCACCCCCTTTTGTGAAGTGTGTATAAAAGTCAAGTGCTGTCTTTGTTCCAGGCCCTGTCTTTGGACGTGAGTCTGCTGGGCCTGAGAGCACTCAATAAAAGATTCTCCTGTTTTAACCCAAAGCCTCTCTCTCATCCTCCTAAATCCCACAACAAAACCACAATGAGATGCTATCTTAATCTTGCTAGAAGCCCATAATTTAAAAGTCAGAAAACAATAGATGTTGGCATAGATGTGGTCAAAAGGGAGCACTTTGACACTGCTAGTGGGAATTTAAACTAGTCCGACCACTATGGTAAACAGTATGGGGATTCCTTAAAGAACTAAAAGTAGACCATTCATTCCAGCAATCCCATTACTGGCTATCTACCCAAAGGAAAAGAAGTTATTCCATAAAAAAGACACAAGAATATGGATGTTTATAGCAGCCGATTCGCAATTGCAGTGATATGGGACCAACTTAAGTGCCCATCAACGAACGAGTGGATAAAGCAAATGTGGTACACCATGGAATAATACTTGATAATAAAAAGGAACAAAATAATGTCCTTTGCAACAAGTTGGATGGAACTGGAAGCCATTATTCTAAGTGAAGTAACTGAGGAATGGCAAATCAAATATTGAATGTTTTCACTTTTAAATGAGAGTTAAGCTATGAGAATGCAAAGGCATAAGAATGATATAATGGACTTGGGGACTCAGGGGGAAAGGTTGGGAGGGGGATGAGGAATAAATGATGACATATTGGGTATATTATACACTGCTCAGGAGACAGATGCCTCAAAATCTCAGAAATTACCACTAAGGAACTTTTATCCACATAACCAAAAACCACATATATTCCACACACTATTGAAAGAAACATAAACATTATTTTAAAAAATAAAGCCACTTTTAAAATTAGCAAAATAAAATAAATATGTCTTCAGAGTTTAGATATTGGATCCAAATTAGACAGATCAAATACTGCCTTTACTAAATATTTTCATGTCATTAACAACTTCTAAAACCTTTCAAACAGTTTTTTGACATGTCTTGGAACCATCCATTTCTAGCTAAGGCCTGGGCACCTGTGAAATAGGGCCATGCCCCCCCTTATACTGGGAAGAGTAAGATATTTCAAGACTAAGATGTTTTCTACAGCTCCATCTTTTTCTTTAAGCTCTACATCAAGGACATAATTAAAATTGGTTGTCTCCTAAGTGGTTTACTAAAAATGCATACTTAAGAGTTACCATTATAATTAATATTTGTATCTAAAGCTACTTAAAAATTTTCACACACAAATCTGACTGAACAAGTAAAATATATTTTAAGTCAAAGTTTATAAAAGGACATGAGAACATAGCTTTTATGAAAAAATTAGTTTTGTCAAGTTTAGAGGTTTTCAAATATTTTAAATTCAGGAAATAAAATAACAAAAAGACAAAAGAAAATGGTTGAACAACTTAGAAAAGGTTTGTTAAAATTCATCTTATAAAACAATCTACATGTAAAAAGTGGGCTAAAATTTGAAAGAGATTATTTAGGTTTTCCATAAATTAATCCAGAAGGGGTAGGAAGTCTTAAGAATGAGGAAGGACAGGAGGAAGGGGAGGTCATCCTGACACTGCAGAGGCAGAAGTGCAGCTGAAGGTATGAAGGCTAAGAGGGGAGGGGAGTTTGAGTGCTGCTGCCTGGCTGTCAGAGCAGAGGAGGGTCCTGGGCACCAGACTTGAGGAAGGGATGAAAATGCTGGGCAGACCTGTAGTGGGCCCTAGAGATGGCAGATAGTGTTTTCCAGAGAGAGGGCCAGTGTTTTCCAGTGCCCAGCACTGAGCAGAGAGAGTTTTGGGCAGCTTTTTCTGAAAGAAGGAACTGGGTCTAGCAATGGCAATGTTGAGGGAATCAGGAGGACCAGAGAGATCACTGGGTGAAACAGGAGGATTTGTTGAGTGCACTCAGGCTCAGTGGATTCACATCCAAAAGACTGAGCCCCAAACAAAGACAGCACTTGACTTTTATACACACTTCTAAGAAGGGGGTTGGCTAGTTTGAAACAAGCTTACAGTGGCGCAAAGCATAGTGGTGCAAAAGCTCATGTACAGAAGCAGAACAAAGACAATCAACTTGTGGCAGGTTCATAACTCAGGCTTACACATATCTGTTGCTATGTGGTCCAGATAGCTGTTATCTAGGTTCACTCAAGTGTCTTCCACGGGCTTATCTCACAACCTTCGTTATGGCACCTAAGTGGCTACAATTCAGGTTCACTTGGGCATCTAATAACCATCACTATGCTCCTTAGATAAAAGACAGAATACTTGAAGTTACTATTATAGAAAACAGGAATCTATAAACTCATAGGTTTGCTCATAGCATAAGAGAAGGGGAAATTTGTTTTCTTCTCCCTATATTTAGGGAGTGCTGGGAGAATCTCCAGAGCACATTCTTTTGAGCTTTGGCTTTTAGATAATGTTATCAAGATTTTGCCTGGGTCTGGGCTTTGCCTGTTACTGCCTTTGGGATGAGTGAGCCTAATATGGAAAGCTTACTTTTCTCTTTTATTTTATTTTTCTTTGCTTGTTAGTTTCCACCTCAGCAACATAGCCAGGGTGGGTGAGGCAGACTGGGGAAAAGCAAAATCCCCACCTGTGTCCTTTAAGCCATCCTTCAACCCAGCTGGCCAATTAGTAAGGCCACAAAAAGGTTTGGTCGTCAGTAACCAATAGCAGACCCCAGCAGAGTCTGAATAGGAATCTGAAATAAAGGAGTGACAGGAGGAGGGGTTGAGGGCCCAGAAGGCATGGGAGGTGTGGGAGAGGGCTTAGCCCCCAGAATGGGGAATGGGGCATGGGGTGGAGACAGCAGCCATCCAAGGCCCAAAAGAATTTGGACAGTGAAGAGCCCAAAGAATCCAGTGAACAGGAAAAAGGAAAGACGGTGTCCACCCCACGTTTTGGCAGTGCCTGGAGACTCGGTGACTCCAGAAGGGTGGGGAAGGTGAGTTGAGAGACTGCAAGATGGTGGAGTAGGCAGAGTCCAGAAGAATCACGGGATGGGGAGTGGTGAATGAGGGACCCAATGCCTGCGAATGCCTGGATCCCAGAAGAATGGAGAAAATAGGTGTTGTGGAGGGAGATGGAGGCTCCAACACCTCATAGTGTGCAGGGCCTGTCCAAGCTCACTTTCTCCCTGCCAGGGCTTTGTCTGTGGTTGCAGAGCTTCACCTTTCCTCTGACCCAACCAAAATGGGTCCCTTGAATGCTTCCCTCCTGATGGACTGGTTCTGGGTGCTATTGACTGACACACCTCACTCTTCAAGGAGGCCATTTCTACTCTGTTCCTGGTTTGATTGATCAGAAATTAGGAAATGCCCCTCACAGCCCTCATGGTTTGTCCATTTTCTTCCTTGGAGCTTTCCCTCCTGAGGCAGGAGGTTCTCAAACACCCCCAGGATTCAACTTCAGAATTGTACTCTCTGAAACCTTCCCATTCCCTGAACCCAGGCAGGCTCATGGCCCTCAGCCTCTCAGACCCCATGGAGACCTCCTTTTCCTCTCATGGCTGCTCTCCAGATCGAGAGCCTTCCCTCCTCAGCATACAGCTCAGAGACTCACTCCAACATGGGCGGCAATTCACCACAGAAACAGTCATCAGTCTGTGTTGTGGTTAAGAAACACTTTATTTCTGCAGTTTTGAGGCCATTGTCTTCCTTCGGGAGGCTGGATGATGACCAAGCAACTGCTGGTGAAGCATCACCTTTCTGATGATCTATGTTTTGTTTTGGACATATTTCTTGTATACCTGGTTGTATAAAAATGCAGGGGTTTGGCTTTATAAACATATCAGCATTTCCTGAATTAGATATTCGCTCATCCGGCCAATTGACTTTCTCTTGCACCAGCTATTAATTGCTGTGGTAGGAATTTTCTTATCTCATGCATAACACAATCAGCCACAACATCTGCTAATAATTTATTGATGATATTTATAAATGAAATAAACAAATCCCTGGATAGCATAATGTTTTCAATGGAGTAAAAAAACTTTTGAAAAAAACTAAAGGGGAAAAAAACCCATTTTCTAAAAACATACAATAGCCACACCCCCCCAAAAACTCGAGCAAACTCGAGCAAGTGGCTCAAGGGCCCCAATTAGCGTGTTTTTGGAGGGTTCTATTAAGCTAAAAGAAGTTGGTAACACCCTGAGGTGCCCTGAGAGGCCTCCAGTTGACTACACCACATGAAGAATGAGCCTGCAACCATTCAGAGGTTGAAGTGGAGACCTGGCTTGTGGTCAGAGGCTGAATTGGAGCCTTCTGTCTCATTATAGTGAGGATGTGGCCTGGATGCTGCCTAATCTTGCCTAGAACTGGCTGCGCCTCCTTTTCTTTTGCTTCTGCCTTAACCCTTGGTTACCCTAATTCCCTATTCTCCTGCCTCAATATGAGTTATTAATTCCATGCCCCCCAATGTCAAAAAAACAAACAGTAAACATATTCATCACTATTATATGTCCTATGGCCATGCCCTAAGAAGTTTAGGCTTCTTTCATGGATCTCAATCAGTTGTGTGAAGCCTGCACAGAGCACACATTGTGTTTTGATATGAATCACCTAAAACCCCAAGCAGACTTGTAACGTGGTGTTCTGCAGCCGCACTGAAGCTGGAACAATGATATTATTCTTCCATCCCTGAGAGTGACACTGTGAGTACAACCAGTTCCTTCCTTCCTCTTGTTGAGGCTTCTCTTCTCTCATATCCTATGATGACACAAGACTACCATGCTGCTCCTGTGTTCTTGTGTGTCTATTCCACAGTGATCCCAGGAATGTTCCTGACTTTCCATGTATAAGGCTACGCTGATGAGGTTTGTCCAAAACAGCAGCAGCTTCTCTGGAAAGAACCACCATCCTCTCTAAAAGTCAGGATTTAAAGTTACTATTGATAACTGGTTATCACTTTTAGGCAGGTTTTTCAAACTTGCTTCTTGAAAAATGAGGACTCAGTGGCTTTCATCTCAGTCAATACAAAGCACACCCTCTTTCTCCTCCCAGGTTTGTTCATTTGTTTTTGGACGCTTCCATGATGAAATATTACAACTTGGTATCTTAAAACAACAGAAAGTTGTTTCCTCATAGCTCTGGAGGCCAGAAATTCAAAATCATAGAACTGGCAGAATGGCGCTCCCTCTACACGTGCCCTTCTTTGCCACTTTCAGCCTTTGGTGGCATCTGTATTCCCTGGCTGGTGGCTGCCCCACTACAATCTCTGCCTTCTTCTTGCCTTCTCTTTTGTGTGTCTTCTTCTTTTCTCTATCAGGATACTCATCATTGGATCCAGGACTCACCCAGATAACCCAGGATGATCTCACCTCAACATCTTTAATGTAAGTATATCTGCAAACAACCTTTTCCAAGTAAGTTCACATTGACAAATTCCACATGTTAGAATGTAGACATAACTTTTGGGGGCCCCATTCAACTCACTGCAAAGATCCTCACCTGCCGACAGTGGCCCAGATGAGTTTAGCATAAGCCCCAGAGCCGCACCCTGAGGGGCTCATCCCAACTTTTTCAATGAACACCACTGAGTCTAGACTTTACCCCAGAAAGTGGAAATGAAGGGGCAGGACACAGACTGCACTACAAAACCCAGACAGACCCAGATGGGGAGCCCCAAAAACCACCAGCATGGGTCCTATACACAGGCAACGATGTACAAAGGGGGTGCTGCTCTAGATTAATACCATTTGCTATTTTGGACCCTTTCTTAGGTGTTCAGAGAAAAATAGCATAAAATACATTTTGGACAAGCAACAACAACAACAAAATAGTTAAACTGAAGCCCACTCCAATTTAAATCATTTGTGCTTCAATACAATTCATCATAAAATAGAAAGTAATCAAGAACATGAAGGAAAATTTCTTTCAGTGACATATCTGATAACTTATATCTAAGATATACAAAGAACATGCCCAACTCTATAGTAAGAAAAACAAAAATAACTCTATTTAAAAACACCCAATGAATCTGAATAGACAGGCTGGGCACAGTTGCTCATGCTTTTTTTTTTTTTTTGAGACAGAGTTTGAGGTTGAAGTGGGGGAATCACTGGAGCCCAAGAGTTCCAGAACAGCATGGGCAACATACCGAGTCTCTGTCTTTACTTTTTTTAAAAAAAAGTTATAATATAAAATAAGAAAATAAGCTGGGCATGATGGTGTAATGCCTGCAATCCCTGCTACCAAGGGGTTGAGGTTGCACTGAGGTTGCAGTGAGCTGTAATCATGCCACTGCACTCCAGCCTGAGCAATAGAGAGAGACACTGTCCAAAAAAAGAGAAAAAAAGACAGTACAAAAAGAATCTGAATAGACAGATGTCCCAAGATATGCAAATAACGAGTAACTACATAAAAGAGAGTCAACATTATTAACATAAATGAAACACAAATGAAAACCACAATGAGATATCACCACACATCCACTGGGATGACTTCAGTCACAAAGACAGATGATAACAAGTGTTGAAGATGATGCAAAGAAAAAGGAATCTCCTTGCCCCAGTACACTGCTGCCGAGAATGTAGAATGCTGTAGCTGCTTTGGAGAACAGTCTGGCAGTTATTGAAACTGTTGCATAATTTACCATACAATACAACAATTCAAACACTAGGTATATGCCCAAGGGAAATGAAATCATCTGGTCCCCAAAAATCTTATATATAACAACATTATTCCTAATAGCCAAAATGCAGAAACAATGCAAATATCCATCAACTGGTAAATGAATAAACAAATAGGCTATATTCTCAAAATGGAATATTTCATTCGGCCTTAACAGGGAATGGTAAACTGTGCATGATACAACACGGAGGAACCCTGAAAGCGTTATGTTAAGAAGGAGATGCCAGATATGAAGGCCACAATTGTATGATTTTAAATCTGTGCCCCCAAGGAGTGACAGAAAACAGTAACTAACAAACATTCTTGGGTTTGCAGGATGGAAGATAAGAAAACAAACAACTTGCTGCAATGTTGAAACTCAGCATTGATAATAACACAAGATGATGAAATATATTCTGCCAAGTGTCTTGGTATTGCCCCTTATCAGAATAAAAAAAAAATCCTTCACAGCTTTCATCACTCCTTTATCACATTTCTCCCTGTAACTGGAGCCACAGGGTTGGACTATATTAATCTCCACTCTGTTAGACAAGACTGGGTCCTCACCAGTATCTGAGAGACTGAAAGTAACAGAAATCTCAAGACAGATATTGGGACAAATCCTGTCTAAATGAATGTGTGTTGAAAGAAAGAGTGATCTAGGGTGGTAGAAAGGATCTGACACTTACCTAGAAAACAAATATCACCTTGTTACTCTCCTGTGAGGGCTTCCGCATCTTGTAAGATAAAGGCCAAAGTGTTTGGTTTACTTTGTTGGAGTCATTCTGATCAACCTGCAGTTTCCCCAACACATCATCCCACTTCGTGCTTTATGCATGCCTTCCTTTCCCCCTTGTTTTTGGTGTCAAGCTCTTCCCTGTCTTCCAAAGTGTAGTCCAAGTGTTCTGCCTGGGACTTAGCTCACCTGGGGTGTGATTTCACAGTTATCACTCTGAATGTTAATCAGTGTGTGGGTTTGTCTTTCTCTTCCAATAGGATTTAACTGTGTCAGGACAGGGACCACATGGTATTCAACATAGCTTCCTCAGTGCCTGGTATTATGTCTGGCACTTGGCAGATGCTCAATAAATGTTGAATGATTTTCAAAAACAAATGCAGCCCACAAAACACAAACACTGTAGTGGCTAATGAGTTAACTCTTGCCAAACAGTTAAAGGCTGTCTTTTTTTAACTTGATTTTACTTTATCATGGTAAACCACTTAACATAAAATCTATGTATTTTCATTTTGCTTGTATTATTACACTGGCTGGAAACTCCAGTGCAACACTGAATAAAACTAGTGAAAATAGACATCTTGTCTTATTCCAAATAACAGAGAAAAAATATTCAACATTTGAATATTAAGTATAATATCACTTTTAAGCTTTCTGTAGATGTCCTTTATCAGATTGAAGGCATTCCCTTTTTTAAAAAAAACTTTTATTTCCATAAGTTATTGGGAAACAAGTGGTGTTTGGTCACATGACTAAGTTCTCTAGTCGTGATTTTTGAAATTTGGTACAACCATCACCTGACTGCACCGAATTTGTAGTCTTTTATCCCTCACCCGCTTCCCATCCTTTCCCCATAAGTTCCAAAATCCATTGTGTCATTCTTATGCCTTTGTATCCTCATAGCTTAGCATCCACCTATAAGCAAGAACATATGATGTTTGCTTTTCCATGCTAGAGTTACTTCACTTAAAATGATAATCTCCAATCTCATCCAGGTTGCTGCAACTATCATTAATTTATTTTTTATGGCTGAGTAGTATTCCATTATATATATATATACCACAGATTCTTTATCCACTCATTGATTGATGAGCATTTGGATTGGTTCCAAATTTTTGTAATTGTAAATTGTGCTAAGGCTGTCTTGATCCTACATTTTTAGTTGATTTCCGAAGAGGCAAGGCCTATTGCCCGGTGTGTTTTTCAAAAAGGAAAAAATACCTTTGACCATTTAGATAAATAAGGTGCTCAAAGCAAAAAATAGTGGGTCTCAAGGCCTCAAAATGTTAAACACTGTCTTGGCTTTACTTCTTTAATGTTAGTTTCATAAGGGATATTGCTAGTTTTGTTGCAAGAAAGAAAGAAAAAGGAAGAAAGAAAGGGAAAGAAAGAAAGGGAAAGAAAGAAAAAGAAAGAAAGAAAAAGAAAGAAAGGGAAAGAAAGGGAAAGAAAGAAAGAAAAAGAAAGGGAAAGAAAGAAAGGTAAAGAAAGAAAGGGAAAGAAAGAAAGAAAAAGAAAGAAAGGGAAAGAAAGAAAGGAAAAGAAAGAGAAAGAAAAAGAAAGAAAGAAAGAAAGACAGGAAGGAAGTAAGGAAGGAGAGAGTGTGAAAGAAAGAAAGGGAAAATGGAAGGAAGTAAGGCAGACAGAAGGGAGGAGGCAGGAAGGAAGGAAGGAAGAAACCTAGGACTCTCTTCTTTTGGAAAAATTAAGTGCTCCAAACATCAGCAGTGCAGGTGTAGTTGCTCTAAGGGTTAAATGGAGTCTTAGCTTTATTGCTTTTCTGTTGGTTTCAGAAGAGGCAAGGTGAACATGTTAGATCTGTGGCTAAAACAAAACATATTTCATTCTCCTTTTAGAAAAATGAAGTGATGATAACATCAGCAGTACAGCTCTTAATGCCTCAATAGCTTAAGAGATGTCTGGACTTCAGGGGCTTTGAGATGGTTTCATTGCAGGAGTGAACATCTTGGCTGTGTAGTAAAAAGAATGCGTCTTCTTTTAGAAAAACAAAGGCTCAAAACATCACCAGAGCAGGTCTAAATGCTTTAACATATTAAATGGCATCTTGTTTTTTTCTGATTTTTGTAGGTTTCATTGGCAGCAAACTGAACAACCTGACTGTGTAGCTAATAGATAACATATTTCCTTCTCCTTGTAGAAAAACGAAGCTTTCAAAACAGGAACATAGTAAATCTCCAAGTTGAAACCAGTTTAATGCTGCTTTGGCTTTACTTCTTCTCTGCTTGTTTTGTTAAAGACAAAGCAAGTTGCTATCTGTGCTCTTTAAAAAA
Organism: Homo sapiens; assembly: GCF_000001405.40. Classification (NCBI taxonomy): domain Eukaryota; kingdom Metazoa; phylum Chordata; class Mammalia; order Primates; family Hominidae; genus Homo; species Homo sapiens. The sequence goes on from NT_187620.1 coordinate 157,810, forward strand.
AAAATACGACTTTCTGCTTTCAGAAAAACAAAGTGTCAACATACCAGCAACGCAGGTTTTAACGCTATAGAGGGTTAAAGGCTGTCTTGGCATTACTGCTTTTTTGTTGGATTATAGAAAAGAGGCAATTTGCTGGCTGCAGTGCTTTAAAAAAAACAACATATCCCTTTCTCCTTTTAAAAAAACGAAGCTGAAAACATCAGCAGAGTGTGACTAGATATTTCAAAGGGTTAAATTGTGACTTTGCTTTCCTGTTGTTTGTTGGTTTCATTAAAGATTAGGTGATGTGTCTGCGTAGCTAAAAGAAAACACCTTCTCCTTCTCCTTTTACAAAACTGAAGCTCTTGAGACACAAACACTGTAGATCTCTGTGTTTCAAAGGGTTAAACGCTCTGTGGCTTCTATTTCTTTTGTGTTGGTTGCCTAACAGGCAAGGCATATTGCTAGCTGTGATGCTAAAAATAAAAATAAAAAAAAAAGAATACAACTGTCCAGGCAGTGTAAAAAAAAAAAAAAGAGGGAACTTACCTCTTTCTCGTTTTAGAAAAAGAACAGTCTAAGAATATCAGCAGGGAAACTCTCAGTGCTTCAAGGGGTTAAACGCCCTTTTGGCTTTCTTGTGTTGGTTTCATCATAGAGGAGGAGAAACTTCTTGGAAGTGTTCCTAAAAACACAACACGTCTGCTTCTCCTTTCAAAAAAGGAAGTGCTAAAACACGAACACTCTAGATCCAAATATTAATACGGATGTCTAAATGCTTCCGTTTTCCAAGGGGCAGAAAGCTAAAGGTTGTAACCTATTCATTTCAGTCAAAGTTGGTGAAAGGGAAGCAAAGGAACTGGGTGGGGCTTGGAAGGATGACGAAGCTCAAGCTCATTGGCCAGCAACCTCTCTCCTGGGGGCGGGAGGGGTGAGCATACGTCATTGCTTTGGCTTCTATAAAATGAGGAGGACTCACCGAGTGTGAAGAGTCCTTCTGGTGATTGCAGCTGAGAGCACACTCACGACGTTCTGCAAGGATTCTCTGATTATGATTCTGAAGGGAAAAGCGATGGAATGGACAGCAGAGATTGTAATTTTCTTTATCTTGAATTACGGAAGAAAGTATCTAGGACAGAAATCCACGACAAGTCCTTGGAACCAGCAGATCTCTTCGTTCACGGAGACGTTGACATATTCTCTATTGAAGAAGATTCTTACCTTCTTACTGGACAAGGTTTTGTCAGTTCTGCGTGACTGGATTGTCCGGGAGACTCTGAGGAAACTGATGTCACATGTTTTTCCAAAGAAGATGTTTCTGGAACCAACAACTGTGATTGTGGTTTGAGGACTTCTGAGAGTTCCAGTACAGGAAATAAGCAGAACATCAGCTGGAGGCTAAACGGATCCAGACTTCACTCTTCACTTCCCTTCCTATTCAGTCTATTGTGCCTGCTGACTGAGAAGCTTGGCTGGTATGTGAGCAAATAAACGGAACTATTCAGAAGGAGATGTTGACATATTCTGTATTGAAGAAGATCCTTATCTTCTCACCTGACAAGGTTTTGTCAGTTCTGTGTGACTGGATTGTCCGGAAGACTCTGAGGAAACTGATGTCACATGTTTTTCCAAAGAAGATGTTTCTGGAACCAACAACTGTGATTGTGGTTTGAGGACGCCTGGGAGTTCCGGTATGCGAAATAAGCAGAACATCAGCTGGCGGCTGAAGGGATGCAGCCTCCACTCTTCACTTCCCTTGCCATTCCATCTATTGTGTCTGCCTGACTGAGAAGCTTGGCTGGTATGTGAGGAAATAAACGGAATTATAAACAAGGAGATTGTTTCTCATCTACTTCATTCTGTTGTGGCTTTTCTATTTTGGGGTTCGGGGTGTGTGACAAGGACCAAGGAGATGAAAGGTTTCATGATGGAGAAAGCCCAGGCAATCAGATTGAAGAGCTATCCACAGGGAATCTTGGCTGCTGAGGGGCTGCACCCTGCAACGGACTGACCATATGACAGAAAAGGGTTTTAAAAGCTCAACTTCTGGACTGAGAACCCAGAGTAATTTGGGAACCTCCTCTGTGAGGAGATATGAAAGCTGGGAATCATGACATCCCTAGGAATGGAAGGCACATTTCCTGATGGAAGGGGTGCTTTGGAAAACAGGAGCAGAGTAGACACAGCAGCCTTGTGGATACGGGTGGGCAGCATGCATGGGTGATGTGAACGTGGAGTGTTTGTGATCGAAACTCAAAATGTCTGACAAAGTGAAAACCTAGAAACCACAATGAGGAGGAAGAGTTTGTGAGGGCAATCACTCTCCCCATGTGTGAAAATCGGGGGCTCTTAAAATCTCATCTGGAGAGGTGCAGTCTACCAAACTCTGGGACTTTAGCCTCCCCATTTAAAAAACCGTGCATCAATACCAACGTCCGAAACCACAGAAATAACACCTGGCTTGCATGGAGACAAGGACAAAAAGCCGTCATGATGAGTTGTTCTGCTCACTTGCTGCCTCTGTTCAGTGCACAGGATATTGTCCACCCACTAGCAGGCTACTGCAAGAGAAGTGTGCAATATGTTCCCTATGTGCCATATATGTGCCATATGGCCCATATGACAACTGAGTCAGAAAATATCTGATGCCCTCAGAGTTACACTCCACCTGGAGCTTGCCCCCAGCCATCCAGGACCTAGGCTCCCTACCCTGTCCAATTTTCTGGTGTTTTGGGGGCTTCATTCTCTAAGGTGTGCCCACTCTTTACTCAAACCAAAACACCCACATATTCCTGCCCATGAACAACCAATCAACCACTTCTCAGTTCCACATCCTGCTGTTGGGTCTCTAGTGGTGACACTGTAACTCCCAGGTCATAGTGGTGACACTATAACACCTAGCTAAATTGATGCCTTGTCTCTAGGAGGCCATGGGCTCCTGCAGGTCTCATCTGACTCTCTGTAGCCTTCCCTGACAATGCTCACAATACCCAAGCCAGAGCCACATTGACAGCAAGCTGCTCTCATCTTACCTTTGCCAGACCTGGCCACTGGAAAAGGCTGACCCTCATCCTGCAATGCCTATACCTCCAACCTTTGTCTCAAGCTGGTGTCCTGGAGGGACTTCTAAGCAGAAAACAGATTCAGACTCCCATCCTCTCCTGAATGGCCTCATATCCAATTCTCAGACCCTCAGCCTTCATTGTAAGGACACTTCATCCATGCCCTTGAGTATTCTGTCTGCACTGTGTATTCTGCAATAGATTCTCCTCCCTCTGCGACCCTCAACTCCTTCCGCAGACTTTTTGTTTTCTTGATCATCTACCATAGTCTTCCACTGGGACACTGCCAAGCCCATTCTGGAGAGTGAGTTGTGCAAGTACACTGCCCCCCATCTACCTTTCGGGAGGTGTATATACCCTTCTTTCTCCCATGTCTGGAGGCTTTCTATTTTCATCCTGAGGCATCTCCACCTGCTCTTGGATTCTTCAAATTGACAACCACCAGTTAACAAGAACTATGTGTCACCAAATAGCCAAACAATGGCAATTACAAAAATAAAATTAATAGCTGTAACCCCCATTAGCAAGGATACACAAATCAAATCAGGGATAGTGGGTGAGGAAGTCTGCCTAACATTCAAGGAAGGATTCTGAAGTGATACAAAATCATTGCCTTTGCTATCTTTAGAATGGACACTTTCAGCCAGGCACAGTTGCTCAGCCTGTAATCCCAGCACTTTGAGAGCCCCAGTTGGGTGGATCACTTGAGGCCAGCAGCTTGAGACCACCCTGGGCAATGTGCAGAAACCCCAACTCTACTAAAAATACAAAAATAGCCAGTTATTGTGGCACATGCCTGTAATCCCAACTCCTTGGGAGGCTGAGGCACAAGAATCACTTGAATCTGGGAGCCAGAGTTTGTAATGAGCGAAGATCATGCCACTGCACTCTAGCCTAGGCATTAGAGTGATAATCTGTCTGTGGAAAATAAAAACATTCCTCTTCAAAGTTTTCTTCTTTAAATCATAAATGTTGGAATTAATATATCCTCTTTGAAACTCACTTTCTTCAAGCTTCTTTATTTGATGGTAGTAAATCTTTGTTAAGCTTTATGAGGCAAGAGTAATGGAAGAAGCATATTATATATATTTATACTCTAACCTCAGTGCTTGTTCTAGCAAGCTCAGGCATGCGTGAATGTGCCCAGGCATGTTCCAGCCCATACCTTATATCCTTTCCTTATTGGGAAATGCTGTTACTCCTATAAGCATTCTTGTAAGCAACTTCCTCTTTTTCTTTGTCTCCACTATCTTTACCTATTGAGGACAGTTTTAGGTTCTTAGCCAGTTGGATGTAGCATAGACTGTGAGGTCCAACCCCAGCCAATGGAGATAGCACACAGCAGTAGCGACCTCATGCTTAACAGATAAATATTCCTGTCTCCCTTTGTTTGGGGTGCTCTCAGCTGATGAGCAACACCCTTTCTAAAGAAATTAAAGTTGTCTTGCTGAGAAAACTTTTGGTCTAAATGCTGATTCTTCCTTGCAGCACTGAAGAAGAAGCAATTATTTCCAACACTTTCTCATACACAAAAAAAGAAGAAGGTGGAAGAAAACTTTCTTGTGCACCCTATCCCTCACTCAGAAAGACAACAGAAGGCTCCTAGTGGCAAGCCCTAGAGGATTCATTTCTTTTGGGAACCCTCTTGGCTGGGATACTAGGACTCAGGTCAAACTCAGCATTTTCAGTGTGTGGGAAGTGTGCTTGGGTTTCACTGTTACTTCCAATAATGTGATTTGGTCCTTGGGGTTCACCAAATTTTGGTATGGAGTGGTGAACCCTGTTAAGTTTAAGTGTCTATAAAATTAACAAAGCAAAAGAACCATTCTGCCCCATGGTTCAGAGACCAAATATTGTGTAGGAAATGCTTTAGCGAGAGAAACAGAGAAGAATAAAAAATGTCCTCAAGCGCTGCATTATTTCTTGTTATCGTCCAGATCTTAGAGGAAAGGCTTTCATTTTCCCTCATTCAGTATGATATTAGCTGTGCATCTGTCATTTATGGCTTTTATTATGTTGGGGTATGTTCCCTGTGTATGTAGTTTTTTCAGGGTTTTTGTTATGAAGTGATGTTGAACTTTATCAAACGTTTTTCAGTTTCAGTTGAAAGGATCATATGCTTTTTGTCCTTCATTCTCTTGATATGATGTATCATGTTGATGATTTCCATATGGTGCACTGTCCTTGCATCCTGGGCATGAATTCCACTTGATCATGACAAATGAATTTTTAATGCATTCTTGAATTCCGTTTGCTGGTATTTTGTTGAGGATTTTTGCATCAATATTCATCAGAGATATTGGCCTGCAGTTTTCTTTTTTTTTCTTTTTTCTTTGTTTTGTTGTTTGTTTGTTTGTTTGTTTTGATGTGTCTATGTCTGGTTTTGGTATCTGGGTAGTAGTGTTCCATCCCCTTTTATTTTTTAGAATAATTTGAATAAGACTGGTGTTGGTTCTTTAAATATTTGGTAGAATTCCGAAGTGAAGTCATTGGGCCCCGGGCTTTTCTTTAGTGGAAGGCTGTTTATTATGGCTTCAATCTCGTTACTTATTATTGGTCTATTCATGTTTTGAATTTGTTCCTTATTTAATCTTGGTAGGCTGTGTGTATCTAGGAATTTGTCCATTTCTTTTAGATTTTCAAATTTATTGGCACATAATTGCCCATTGTAGCCTCTAATCGTCATTTGAGTTCCTGCAGTACCAATTATAATGTCTCCTTCTTCATTTTTGATTGTATTTATTTGGATCCTGCCCCTTTTTTTCTTACTTAGGCTGCCTAATAATTTCTTAATTTTGTTGAACTTTTTCTTTTGTTTGTCTCGCTCTGCCACCAGGCTGGAGTGTAGTGGTGTGATCTTGGCTCACTGGAACCTCCGTCTCCCAGGTTCAAGCAATTCTCCTGCCTCACCCTCCCAAATAGCTGGGACTACAGGCATGTGCCACCACTCCCAGCTAATTTTTGTATTTTTAGTAGACACGGGTTTTCACCATGTTGGCCAGGATGGTCTCGATCTCTTGACTTCATAATCCACCTGCCTCAGCCTCCCAAAGTGCTGGGATTACAGGCATGAGCCACTGCGCCCAGCCTAATTTTGTTTAAATTTTCAAGAAATCAACTTCTTCTTTCATTGATTTCTGTATTTTTTATTTCCATTTTATTTATTTAAACTCTAAGCTTTATTCTATCTTCTTCTCATTTTAGCTTTGGTATGCTTATTGCCTCTCTAGCTCTTTAATGTGCATTGTTAGATTGTTTATTTGAAGTTCTTCCTCTCTACACCATAAGACGTAAGCATGTCCTCATTATGTCATAAGATGTAACCACTTACAGCTATAAACTTCCTTCTTAGTTCTGCTTTTGCTGTATCTCATAGGCTTTGTTATGTTGTGTTTCCATTATCAATTGTGTCAGAAATTTTTCAATATTTTTCTTAATTTCTTCATTGAGCAACTGATCATTTGGGAGCATATTTTTAAACTTCCATGTACTTACATAGTTTCCAAAATACCTCTTGTGATCAATTTCTAGTTTTATTCCACTATGGTTCAAGAAGATGCTTGATATTATTTCAATTTTTTTTCACATTTTAAGATGTGTTTTGTGACCTAACATATGGTCTACTTTTTTTTTTATTAAACTTTAAGTTGTGGGGTACATGTGTAGACCGTGCAGTTTTGTTACATAGGTATACACGTGCCATGGTGGTTTGCTGCTCCCATTAACCTGTCATCTACATTAGGTACTTCTCATAATGCTATCCCTCCCCTAACCTCCACCCTCTGACAGGACCTGGTGTGTGATGTTCCCCTCCCTGTGTCCATGTGATCTATTTTTGAGAATGATCCATGTGGATTAGAATGCTGTGGAAAAGACTTTGGATTCCTAATATCCAGGGAGGGAGACGATGATATTACTTTCAATATCACACGGGTGTACACACTCTCTGTGACATTGTTCCTAATATCCAGTGGAAGAGAGGATGATATAACACCCAGGGAGGGAGAGGATGATATTACTCTTAATATTGCAGGGTGTGTACCCATGCCTATGATATTGTTCCTAATATCAGGAGGGGGAGAGGATGATATTACTCAGAATATGGCAGGGGGTGTACACACACTCTGTGACATGGTTCTTAATATACAGGGGAGAATGGGACAATATTACTCTCAATATCGCAGGGGGCGTACAACCCTGTGATTTGTTCCTAATATACAAAAGGGGACAGTATGATATTGTTCCTAAAATCGCAGAAGGAGTACAACGCCCTGTGATATTGTTCCTAATATCCAGGGCGGGAGAGGATGATATTACCCCCAATATCACAGGGGGTGTGCACTTTCCCTGTTACATTGTTCCTATGATCCGAGTGGGGGGAAATGACATTAGTCCCAATATCGCAGGATGTGTACACTACTCCCCCATGATATTGTTCCTAATATCAAGGGGGAGAGAGGAGGATATTACTCCCAATATCGCAAGGGAGGTACATCCTCCATGCAATATTGTTCGTAATATTCAGGAGGAGAGAGGAAGATATTACTCTCAATATCGCAGAAAGTGGACACCCACCCTGTGATGTTCTTCATAATATCCAGGGAAGCAGACGATTATATGACTTTCAATATCGCTGGGAGTGTACATCCCTTTTGGGATATTGTTTCTAATATCCAGGAAGGGAGAGGATTATATTACTTCCAGTATTGCAGCCAGTGTACACATTTCTTGTGATATTGTTCCTAATATCCAGAAAGGGAAAGGATGATATTACTCCCAATATTGCAGGTGGTGTACACCCCCCTCTGATATTGTTCCTTACATCAAGGAAAAGAAAGAAGAATATTACTCCCAATATCGAAGAGAGTGTACACCCCTCCTGTGATATTGTATTTAATATCCATGGGGAAAGAGGATGTTGTTACTCCCAATATCGCAGGGGGTTTACACCCACACTGTGATATTGTTCCTAAAATCCAGTGAAGGAGAAAATAATATTGCTCCCAATATTGCAGGGTGTATACAGGCCCTCCCCCGTTATATTGCTCCTAATATCCAGCGGTGGAGAGGATATTACTTTCAATTTTTGCAGGGAGTGTGTACCCCCTCTCTGATATTTTTCTAATATCAAGGATGGGAAAGGATGCCATTACTCCCAATATCGCAGGAGGTGTACATGCCCTGTGATATTGTTCCTAATATCCAGGGAGGTAGAGGATGATATTACTTTCAATATTGCAGGGGCTGTACACCCTCTATGATGTTGTTATTAATATTTAGGTTGGGAGAAAATGATATTTTTCCTAATATCCTGGGAAGGAAAGGATGATATTACTGTAAATATTCCAGGGAGTGTACACCTTCCTAATATTCTAATATTGTTCCTAATATCCAGGGGTGGGAGAGGATTATATTACTCCCAATATCGCAGTGGGTGTACACCCCTCCTGTGATGTTGTTTCTAATATCCAAGCGAGGAGAAAATGATATCACTCTCAATACCGCAGGGGGTGTACACCTTCCCCATCATATCGTTCCTAATATTCAGAGGGAAAGAAGATGATGTTACTTTCAATATCGCAGGGGTTGTACACAACCCCTGTGATATTTCTCCTAATATCCAGGAAGAAAGAGGATGATATTGCTCCCATTATAGCAGACGGTATACGCCTCCCTGTAACATTGTTTCTAATATCAAGACTGGGAGAGGATGATATCACTTCCAGTATCGCAAGGGGTGTACACCTCCCCCGTGATATTGTTACTAATATCCAGGGGGAAGAGGATAATATTACTTTCAATATTGCAGGGGCTGTACACCCCCGTGATATTGTTGTTAATATTTAGGTTGGGAGAAAATGATATTAGTCCAAATATCGCAGAGAGTGTACACACTTCCGATAATATTGTTCTTAATATCCATGGGGGAGACGATGATATTACACCCAATATCGCAGGGGGTGTAGTCTCCCCTTGTGATATTGTCCCTAATATTCAGGGAAGTAAACGATGATGTTAGTGTGAATATTCCAGGGAGTGTACACCCCCTTTGTGATATTGTCCTAATATCCGCAGGAGAGAAGATAATATTACTCCCAATATCGCAGGGGGTGAACACACCCCCTGTGATATTGTTTCTAATATCCAAGCGAGGAGAAAATAATATTACTCCCAATGTCTCAGGGGATATACACCTTCCCTATGATATTGTTTCTAATATTCAGGTGGAAAACGGGTGATATTACTCCTAATATCCAGGAAGAAAGGGGATTATGTTACTCCCCTTATAGCAGGGGGTATACACCTCCCCTGTAATATTGTTCCTAATATCAAGGCTGGGATATACGTGGGGGGAAGGATGATATTACTCCCAATATCACAGGGGTTATAAAACCTTCTGTGATATTGCTCCTAATAACCATGGCGGAAGAAGATGATATTACTCCTAATATTGCAGGAGGTGTACACTCCCCCATTATGTTGTTCCTAGTATGCAGAAAAGGAGAGGATGACATTATTGCCAATATCGCAGGGTGTGTACACCACCCATGATATTGTTCCTAATATTTAGAGGGACAGAGGATGATATTACTCCCAATATCGCAGGGGGTGTACACGCATCCCCTGTGATATTGTTCTTGAAATCGAGGGGAAAGAGAATTATATTTCTCTAAATATTGCAGAGGGTGTACACCGCCCCCTGTGATATTGTTCCTAATAGCCGGGGGCGGGGGGAGATAATTAAATTACTTTCAATATCTCAGAGAGTGTACATCCCCCTTGTGACATTGTTCCTAATATCCAGAGCAAAAGAGAATGATATTCCTCCCAGTATCGCAGGAAGTGTACATTTAACCTGTAATATTGTTTCTAATATCCAGGGGGAAGAGAATAGTAATACTCCCAATATCGTAGGGGTTGTACACCTTTTCTGTGATATTGTTGCAAATATTTAGAAGAGAGAGAGAATATTACTCGCAATATCACAGGGAATGTATACTTCCCCTGTGATATTGTTCTAATATCTAGAAAAAGAGAGGATAATATTACTCCTAATATTGCAGGGGGTGTACACCCCCACTTGTGATATTGTTCCTAATATAAAGGAAGGTCGAAAAACAAACGGGGAGCCCAGGGGGAAGGAAGGCAGGCGAGGAAGAGGCAGCGCCGGGGCGCCGGAGGGAGCAGCCGGGCCGCGGAAGCGCGAGCACGAGACCGGTCGCGGTCGCAGTCGCATTTTTGCCGTTGTCGCGGCCGCCGCCGCCGAGGCTTACCCGGGGATGTCTGAGCCCGCGCCTCGCGGCCCCCAAGCTCCACGCTGCGCCCGCTGTCCCGGCCTCTAAGGGCCGCCACGTCCCTGCGGCGCGCGCAGGCAGAAAGCGGCTTCGTGCCGGCGGAGGGGGCCCGGGCGGGCCGGGAAAGGCTGCCCCAGGCCCCGCGCCTACCCCATCACCGCGGCCGGCGCCGGGCCGGGAGGATGAGCGGTGTGGGGCTCTGAAGCATGGAGGGGGTTTTGTACAAGTGGACCAACTATCTCACAGGTTGGCAGCCTCGTTGGTTTGTTTTAGATAATGGAATCTTATCCTATTATGATTCACAAGATGATGTTTGCAAAGGGAGCAAAGGAAGCATAAAGATGGCAGTTTGTGAAATTAAAGGTGACAGCTTTGGAGGGGACCACCCTTGATTGGATACATAAATTCTGTTCATTCAGCAGACAACACAAGAATGGAATTAATCATTCCTGGAGAGCAGCATTTCTACATGAAGGCAGTGAACGCAGCTGAAAGACAGAGGTGGCTGGTCGCTCTGGGGAGCTCCAAAGCATGTTTGACTGATACAAGGACTAAAAACGAAAAAGAAAGAAGTGAAACCAGTGAATCGCTGAAAACCAAAATGTCTGAACTTCGCCTCTACTGTGACCTCTTAATGCAGCAAGTTCATACGATACAGGAATTTGTTCACCACGATGAGAATCATTCATCTCCTAGTGCAGAGAACATCAATGAAGCCTCTTCTCTGCTTAGTGCCACGTGTAACACGTTCATCACAACGCTTGAGGAATGTGTGAAGATAGCCAATGCCAGGTTTAAACCTGAGATGTTTCAACGGCACCATCCGGATCCCTTAGTTTCTCCTGTGTCACCTTCTCCTGTTCAAATGAGGAAGCGTTCTGTCAGCCACCCTGGTTCTTGCACCAGGGAGGAGTAGCCACTGTATAAAAGAACCAGTATCTGCACTTCACCGACTCTCCCAGCGACGCCGAAGAACCTACTCAGATACAGATTCTTGTAGTGATATTCCTCTTGAAGACCCAGATAGACCTGTTCACTGTTCATAAAATACACTTAACGGAGATTTGGCATCAGCAACCATTCCTGAAGAAAGCAGACTTATGGCCAAAAAACAATCTGAATCAGAAGATACTCTTCCATCCTTCTCTTCCTGAAGAAACTGTAGTGTCCAACTTTCTCTAAGTATTGCTATGCAAAAGCTGCTGTAATTGAACTATTGTTATAGGGAGTAGTTTTTTCCCTTAGGACTCTGCACTTTATAGAATATTGTAAAACAGACAAACAAGAAAACAAACCACATACTTTTGAAGCGTGTTTTATCTTTATATAGTTTGTTTGCAAGAGTATTTTCCTAATAACTTCACAGTATGAATGTGCATCTTTTTTTTTTTTTTTTAACAAATGATGGTGTAACATTTTGACATCCATAAGGACAAATGTAGATATTTTTCTAAAAAACCGTGAGGGGACTGACAGCTTGGTCAGGGTGTATTGTAGCTTATAAACATGAAATCTTACAAGGTTTCAGTTTGACAGAAGTGTGATATATGTAACTTGTGCCATGGACCAAATGGTCACTTTACCACAGCTAAAAATGAGTTATGATAGCAGCTTGATGGTGATTGCATTGTATTCCTTTAATCAAAAAGGAAACGCAATATTCTAAGTATCTTTAGCCCAAATACCATGACATATTGAGCATCTTTAAATAACCAGACTGTATTGTCCTTCATATGTGAAGTTGACACTACTGATTTGTCAATACCAAATTTTGGGTTAAAGTGTTTAATTTTTATTTATTTATTTTCTTGTTGCCTCAAAAGATGATTGCATTCTAACTTTTGTGACCTACCAAATTTAAGATGTGTATACATTGTTCTTTACGTTGTTCTAGAAAAGAGATTTTAATGCTGTAGTGACTTAGCTCACTTACATCAGAGAAATAAACAACTTTCAATGGAAAAAAATATATATAAAGGAAGGAAGAGGATGATATTACTTCTCATATAGAAGGGGTTGTACACCCCCCTTGTGATATTGTTCCTAATATTCAGGGAGGGAGAGGATTATATTACTCCCAATATAGCAGGGAGTGTACACCCCCCCCCCCCGTGATAATGTTCCTAATATTCAGGGAAGCAGAGGATGATATTACTTTCAATATCACAGGGGTTGTGCTGTCCCCCTGTTATATTGTTCTTAATATTCAGGGGGGAGAGGATATTATTATGCCCGATATCACAGGAGAAGTACACCCCACAAGTGATATTGTTCCTAATATCCAGGGGTAAAGAGGATGATATCGCAGGTGGTGTACACCCCTCCCCGTGATATTGTTTCTAATATAAAGAAGGAGAGAGCATGATATTACTCCCAATATCGCTGGAGGTCTACACCCCCCTTGTGATACTGTTCCTAATATCCAGGAAGGGAAACAATGATATTGCTGTGAATATTCCAGGGGGTGTACACCCCTTTGTAATATTGTTCCTCATATCCAGGGGGTAGAGAGGATGATATTACTCCCAATATCGCAGGGGGTGCACGGCCCCACTGTGATATTGTTTTTCATATCCAGGAGGGGAGAGGATGACATTACTCTCAATATGGCAGGGGGCGAACACCCCCTGTGATATTGTGCTAGTTAGGTTGGGAGAAAATGATATTACTCCCAATATCGCAGGGGGTGTACACCGCTCCTGTGATATTGTTCCTAATATCCATGACGGGAGAGGATATTACTCCCAATATCGCAGGGGGTGTACCTCTCCCCTGTGGGATTGTTCACAGTATCCAAAAGGGAAGAGGATGATGTTACTCCCAATATCACAGGGGGTGTACACCACCATTGTGATATTGTTCCTAATAGCCAGGGAAGAAAACGATGATATTATTGTGAATATTACAGGGGGTGTACACACCCCCTGTGATATGGTTTTTAATATACAGGTTGGAAAAGGATGATATTACTCCCAATATCACAAAAGGTGTACACACCCCCCCATGATATTGTTCTTAATACTTCGGTGGGGAGAAAATGATATTAGTCTCCATATCACAGGGGTGTGAACTCCTCCGGTGATATTGTTTTTAATATCAAGAGGGGAGGAGATGATATTGCTTTCAATATCGCTGGGGGTGTACACCCCTCCTGTGATATTGTTCCTTATATCCAGGCGAGGGGAAAATAATATTACTCCCAATATGGCAGGGGGTGTACACACCCCATGTGGTATTGTTCCTAATACTCAGGGGGAAAGAAGATAATATTACTTTCAATATCACAGGGTTTGTACACCTTTCCTGTGGTATAGTTTTCAATATCCAGGGGGAAGGTACATGATATTACTCCCATTGCAGCAAGGGGTGTACACACCTCCTGTGATATTGTTCCTAATATCCAGAAGTGGTGAGGATGATATTACTCCCAGGGGGTGTACACCCCACCTATGATATTGTTTCTAATATCCAGGGGAAAAGAGTGTGATATTATGCCCAATATCGCAGAGGGTGTACACTTATCCTGGGATATTGTTTCTAGTATTTGGGGAGGGAGGAGAGGATGCTATTATTCTCAATATCGCAGAAATTGTACACCCCCGCTGTGATATTCTTCATAATAATCAGGGAAAAAGAGGATGATATTACTACCAATATTGCAGGGGGTTACACTTCCCCTTTGGTAGTGTTCCTAATATCCAGGAAGAAAGAGGATGATATTAATCCCATTTTCCAGGAAGTGTACACCCACCGTGTCATGTTGTTCCTAATATCCAGCAGGGAAGAGGATGATATTACTCCCAATATCGGAGAGGGTGTACACTTCCCCTGTTATATTGTTTCTAATACCCAGGGGGAAGAAGGATGACATTACTGCCAATATCACAGGGTGTGTACCCCACCCTGCTATTGTTCCTAATATTCAAAAGGAAAGATGAAAATATTACTCCCAATATCTCAGGGTGTGTACACCTCTCCTGTGATATCGTTCCTAATATCCACAGGAAGAGAGAATATTACTCTCAATATTGCAGGGGGGTGTACACCCCCCTGTGATATTGTTCCAAATATTCGGGCGGGGAGAGGATGATATTAGTCCCAATATCGCAGGGGGTGTGCACCAACCTGTGATATTGTTCCTAATATCCATGCGGGGGAGGACGATATCACTCTCAATGTCGCAGGAAGTGTACACCTCTCTTGTTATATTTTTCTTAATATCCAGGAGGGAAAAGATGATATTACTGCCAATATCGCAGGGTGTGTCCACCCCCCTTTTATATTGTTCCTAATATCCAATGGAAAAGAGGATGACATTGCTCTCCATATCCCAGAAGGTGTACAACGCCCCTGTAATATTGTTCCTAATATTTTGGGGGAAGAGAGGATGATATAACTTATAATATCACAGGAGGTGTACACCACCCCTATGTATTGTTCCTAATATCCTTTAAGGGAGAGGATGATATTACTCCCAATATCTCAGGTGGTGCCTATTCCCCCTGTGATATTGTTTTTAATATCCAGGGGAAGAGAGTATGATATTACGCCCAATATCGCAGGGGGCATACACCCTCTCTGAGATATTGTTCATAATATATAGAGGGAGAGAGGATGATATTACTTCCAATATCAGAGGTGGGGTACACCCCCCGGTTATATTATTCTTGATATCCAGGAGGGGAGAGGTTGATATTACTGGATATATAGCAGGGAGTGTTCACATCTTCTGTGATACTGTTCCTAATATCCAGAAAAGTAGAGGATGATATTACTCCCAATATCGCAGAACGTGTACACCTCCCTGTGATATTGATCCTAACATTCAAAGGGGAGAGGATGATATTACTCAAAACATCACAGGGCATGTACACTCCCCTGTGATATTGTTCCTAGTATCCAGAAGGGAGCAAGATAATATTACTTTCAATATCGCAGGGGGTGTACACCCCTCTTTGGTATGTTTCCTAATATCCAGAAGGAAAGAGGGTGCTATTACTTTCCATATTGCAAGGGGTGTACACCCCCCTGTGGTATGGTTCATAATATCCAGGGAGGGAAAGGGTGCTATTATTCCCCATATCGCGAGGCATGTACACCCTGCTGCGGTACGGTTCCTAATATCCAGGGGGAAAGAGGATGCTATTACTTCCCATATCGCGGGGTGTGTACACCCCCGTGTGGTATGTTTTGTAATCTCCGGGAACGAAGAGGGTGTTATTACCCCTCATATCGCTGGAAATGTACACTCCCCTGTGGTACGGTTCACAATATCCAGGGGATTGAGGGTGCTATTACTCCCCATATCGCGGGGGGAGTGCACCTCCCTGTGGTATGGTTCGAAATATCCAGGGTAAGAGAGGGTGCTATTATTCCCCATTTTGCAGGAGGCGTACACCCCTCTATGGTATGTTTTGTAATATCCCAGGTAAGGGGTGCTATTGAGAGAAGAGAGCAAAAGACCCCCCCCATATTGTTCTGTATTATTTTATACTCAGTACCTGTTTTAAGAAGAAACAAGGAAGCGAAACCAAAGGCAGGCAGCCCGGCGCCAGGCACCAGATCCAAAACCAGACCCGAAACCAGGCCTGGGCCTTCCTGACCTTAGCCTGAAAGTTAAAATTCAACCCATGACCTAGCAACTGATGTTATCCATAGATTCCAGACATTGTATGGAAGGACATTGTGAAATTTCTTGTTCTGTTCTGTTTCACTCTGAGTACTGGTGCATGCAGCCCTTGTCACATACCCACTAGATTGCTCAATCAATCATGGCCCTTTCATGTAAAAACCTTAGTGTTGTGAGCCCTTAAAAAGGACAGAAATTGTGCACTCAACAAGCTTGGATTTTGATACTCTAGTCTGCTGATGCTTCCAGCTGATTAAAAGCCACTTCCTTCACTACCTCGGTGTCTGTGGGATTTTGTCCGCGGCTCCTCCTGCTACACTGTGACTCCCCTTATAGAGAGGGGTGTACACCCCCCTTTGGTTCCTAATATCCAGCGGGGGAGTAGGTGCTATTACTCCCCATATTGCGGGGAGTGTACACCCCCTTGTAGTACGGATCGTAAAATCAAGGAGGGAGAGAAGGTGTAATTATCCCCATATCACAGGGAGTGTACACCTCTTTGTGGTATAGTTTGTAATATCCACGACGGGAGAGAATGCTATTACTCCCCATATCGTGGAGGGTGTACACCGCCCTGTAGTATGGTTCGTAATATCCGGAAGGGGAGAGGTTGCTATTACTCCCCATATGGTGGGAAGTGTACACCCCCATATGATATGGTTCATAATATCCAGGGGGGTAGAGGATGATATTACTCACAATATCGTAGAAGGTGCACACCCTTTTGTGATATTGTCCATAAAATCCAGAAGGGGAGAGGATGATATTACTTCCAATATCACAGGGGGTGTGTAGCCCCATATGATATTGTTTGTAATATCAAGGTAGGGAGAGGATGCTATTCCTTACAATAGCTCAAGGGGTGTAACCTTCTTGTGATATTGTTTGTAATATCCAGAAGGGGAGAAGATAATTTTTTTATTTTAAAAGTAAACTTTAATGTCAAAAATGCAAACTTGAGAAGGGCAGAAAGATCAAACAGAAGGCTGCCACTTCACAATTGGAGGGTTGCACAGTGGCCGGGCAGAGGCGCTCCTCACTCCCCAGACGGTGAGGCAGCCGGGCAGAGGTGCTCCTCACTTCCGAGATGTTGCAGGAGCCGGGCAGAGGTGCTCCTCACTTCCCAGAACAGGGGGCTGCCGGGCAGAGGTGCTCCTCACTGCCCAGACGGTTTGCAGGCCTGGCAGAGGCACTCCTCACTTCCCAAACGGAGCAGCGGCAAGCCAGAGGCGCTCCACACTTCCCAGATGGTGGGGCAGCCGGGCAGAGGCGATCCTCACTTCTCAGAGGGTAGGGCGGCCCAGCAGAGGCGCTCCTCACTTCCCACATGGTGGGGCGGCAGGCTAGAGGCGATCCTCACTTCCCAGACGGTGGTGTGGCCATGCAGAGGTGCTCCTCACTTCCCAGATGGTGTGGCCGCCGAGCTGAGGCACTCCTCACTTCCCTGACAGTGGGGCGGCTGGGCAGAGGCGCTCCTCACTTCCCAGACACTTGGACTCCGGGCAGAGACTCTCCTCATTTCCCAGATGGTGGGGCTGCCGGGCAGAGGCGCTCCTCACTTCCCAGACGGTTCAGAGGCCGGGCAGAGGCGCTCTGGGGAGAGGATAATGTTACTCCCAATATCGCAGGGGGTGCACACTCCCTGTGATATTGTTCCGAATATCCAGAGGGGGAAAGGATGATATAGCTCCCAAAATCGTGGGGAGTGTACACCCCCCTGTGATCTTGTTTGTAATACCAAGAAGAAAAGAGAATGCTATTATTTCCAATATAGCAGGGGGAGTACAACCCCCTGTGATATTGTTCGTAATATCTAGGGGGAGAGAAAATTATATTAGTCTTAATATCTCAGGGGACGTTCATCCCCCTGTAATATTGTTGGTAATATTCAGAATGGAGAAGATGATATTGTTCTTAAAATACAGGAAAAAAATATGATAATATTACTTCCAATATCGAAGGGGGTGTACACTCTCCTGTGATATTGTTCCCAATATCCGGAATGAAAGAGGATGCTATTACTCCCAATATCCCAGGGAGTGTACACCCCTTTGCCATATTGTTCATAATATCCAGGGGAAGACAGGATAACATTACTCCCAATATCACCGGGGGTGTCCACCCACTAGTGATATTTATTGTTCATCATATCCAGAAAAGGAGAGGATGATATTACTCCCAATATTGCAGGTGGTGTACGGTCCCTGTGATATTCTTTGAAATATCTAGAAAAGGAGAGGATGATATCACTCCGAGTATCACAGGGGGTGTACACCCCCCTGTGATATTGTTCGTAATATCCAGGGGAGAAAAGGATGATATAATTGCCAATATTTCAGGGGATGTGCACCTCCCTGTGATATTGTTTGTAATATCCAGGGGTGGAGAGGATGATATTACTCAAAATAACGTAAACATCCTGTGTGTACATCCCCTGTGATATTGTTTATAATATCCAGGGGGGTAGAAGATGACATTACCCCCAATATCACAGAGTGTACACACCCCTGGGATACTGTTCATAATATCCAGGCGGGAAAGAATGAACTACTTCCAATATCGCAGGATATGTACACCCCCCTGTGATATATTTCCTAATATTTATGTGGGTAAGGATATTACCCCCAATATCACAGAAGGTGTACATCCTCTTTGTGATATTATTCCTAACATCCAGGAAAGGAGAGAATGATATTACTCCCAGTATCGCAGGGGGTGTACACCACCCCTGTGATATTGTTGCTAATATCCAGGGGGAGAGGATAATATTACTCCCAAAATCACAGGGGACGTACACTCCTCCTGAGATATTGTTCCTAATATTCATGGAGAAAAGAATGCTACTACTCCAAATACAGCAGAGGGTGTACACCATCCCCGTGATATTGTTTTTTATATCCAAAGGGTGAAAGGCTGATATTACTCCCAATATCGCAGGGGGTGTACAGGCCCCCCATGATATCATTCTTAATATCCAGGGAGGCAAAGAATGATGTTACTCCCAATATTGCAGGCTGTATACACCCCCCGTGATATTGTTCCTAATATCCAGAGTAAGAGAGGATGACATTGCTCCCAATATTGCAGGGGTTGCACGCACGCCCTGTGATAATATTACTCCCAATATCAACAGTGGGTGTACACTCCTCCTGTGATATTGTTTGTTATATCTAAGAAAGAAGAGGATGATATTACTGTCAATATCACAGAAGGTGTACAGCCCCTTGTGATGTTGTTTCTAATATCCAGCGGTGAGAGGATGGTATTACTCGCAATATTGTAGGGGGTGTCCAACGGCCCTGTGATATTGTTTCTCATATTCAAAAAGGAAAAGAATAATATAACTCCAAATATCGCAGGGTGTGTACACTTCCCTGTGATATTGATCCTAATATCCAGGAAGAGAGAGGATGATATTAATCCCAATATCACAGGGGGTGTACATCGCTTCTGTGATATTCTTCCTAATATCCAGGGGGGGAGGGGATGCTATTACTCTTAAAATCGCAGGGAACTTACACTCCCACTATGATATTTTTCCTAATATCCAGGAAGGGAGAAAATGATATTACTCCTAATATCACATATCACAATGGGTGTACATCTCCCCGTGATATTGTTTCTAATATCAAGGATGGGAGAAAATTATATTACTCTCAATATCGCAGGGGGTGTGCACACCTCCTGTGATATTGTTCCTAGTATCCAGCGGAGGAGATGATATTACTTTAAATATTGTAGAAGGTGTACAACCTCCCTTTGATATTGTTCCTAATATCCAGGGGGAAAGGAGATGATATTACTCCTAATATCGCAGGGGCTGTACAACCCTATGTGATATTGTTTCTTCTAATATCCAGGGGTGGAGAAGATAATATTACTCCTAAAATCGAAGGGGACATACACTCCCCCTGTGATATTTTTCCTAATATCCAGAAGGAAAGAGGATGATATTACTCCTAATATTACAAGAAATGTATACCTGTCCTGTGATATTGTTCCTAATATCCAGAGGGGTAAATGATTATATTACTCCCAATATCGCAGGGGTGTACACCTTCCCTGAGATATTGTTTCTAATATGCAGTGGAGGAGAGGATGGTATTACTCCCAACATCACAGGAGATGTAAACTCCCCTTGTGATATTCTTCCTAATGTTCAGGACGAAGGAGGGTAATATTACTCACTGTATTGCAGCAGGGGGTGTAGAGCCCCCTGTGATATTGTTTTTAATATTCAAGGTTGGAGAAAATAATATTCCTTCCAATATCGCATGGGGTGTACACCCTTCTTTTTATATAGTTTCTAATATCTGGGGGGAGAGGATGATATTACTCCCAATATCGCAGGGGGATTACACCCCCACTGTGATATTGTTTTTAATATCCAGGGTGGGAGAGGATAATATTACTCCAAATATCCCAGGGCTATACACCCTCCGTGTGATATTGTTTCTAATATCCAGAGGAAGAGAAGATGATATTACTCCCAATGTCACAGGGTGTGTACAGGCCTTCTTTGATATTGTTCTTAATATCCATGAGGGAGAGGATGATATTACTCCCAATATCGCAAAGACTGTACACCCTTTCTGTGATATTGCTTCCAATATCCAGGGAGGGAGAGGATATTACACTCAGGATCACAGGGGGTGTACACCCCAACCTGTGATATTGTTTCTAATATCTAGGGAAAATGAGGGTGATATTACTATCAATATCACAGGAGGTGTACACTCCCTTATGATATTGTTCCTAATATCCAGGAGAATGACAGGATAATATTACTCCCAATATCGCGGGTGGTGTCTCCCCCCACTCCGTGATATTGTTCCTAATACCCAGAGGGGGAGAGAATCATATTACTCCCAATATCGCAGGGGATGTACACCTACATCCGGCGGAGTAGAAGATAATATTACTCACAATATCGCAAGAAGTGTTCACCTTCCCTGTTATATTGTTGCTAATATCCAGGGAGTGAGAAGATGATATTACTTTCAATACTGAGCGTGTACACTACCCCTGTGATATTGTTTCTCATATCCAGTAGAGGAGAAAATCATGTTACTCCCAATATTGCAGGGGTGAACACCTCCTTTGTGATATTTTTCCTAATATCAGGAAAGGGAGAGTATGATATTACCCTTAATATTGACAGGGGTGTACACCCCCCTTTGATATTGTTCCAATATCCAGGGGGGCAGAGGATAATATTATTCCCAATATCGCAGAGGGTGTACACCCCCCGTGATATTGTTCCTAATATCCAGAGAAATAAAAAATAGTATTATTTCCAATATCACAGGGCGTACATTTTCCCTGTAATTTTGTTCCTAATATCTGGGGGGTGGGGTGGCAGGATAATATTACTCTCAATATTGGAGAGGGTGTACACCCCCCTGTGATATTGTTCCTAATATTCAGGGTGGGAGAGAATGATGTTACTCCCAATATCTCAGGAGTCGTATACACCCCCTTGTGATATTTTTTCTAATATCCAGGAGGCAGAGGATGATATTGCTCCCAATATCGCAGGGGGTATACACCCGAGCTGTGATATTGTTTCTAATATGCAATATGGGGGAAGGATGATTTTACTTTCAATATCGCAGGGAATGTACACTTTCCTTGTGATTTTGTTCCTAATATCCAGGGGTGGAGAAGATGCTATTACTATATTACTCCTCATATCGCAGGCGGTGTACAACTCCCTGTGATATGGTTCAGAATATCCAGAGTGAAAAAGGAGGGTGACATTACTCCCAATATCGGGGGGGTGTACACCCCTTTGTGATGTGGTTGGTAATATCCAGGGGGGCAGATGAGGGTGATATCACTCCCCATATCGTGGAAGGCGTCCACTTTTTTGTGATGTGGTTCTTTATATCCCGAGGGGAGAAGGTGATATTACTCCCCATATCGCGAAGGGCATACACCCCCCTGTGATATAGCTCATAATATTCCGGAGAGTGGAGGAAGATACTATGCCCTATATCGCGGGTGGCCTACAACCCCCTATGGTTTGGCTTATAATATCCAGGGGGGAGAGGGTAATATTACTCCCCATATTGTGGAGACGTACAGCCCCCTGTGATATGGTTTGTAATATCTTTGGGGGGCGAGGGTGATATTACTCCCCATATCGCGGGGAGCATACACCCCCGTGATCTGGTTCATAGTATCTCAAAGGAAGAAGTTGATGTGTACAACTTAAGGGAAAAAGTTGAAGTGAAGTGTACACACGCCCTGTGACGTGGTTCATAATATCCAGGCGGGGGAGAGGAGAGTGATATTTACTCCCCATATCGCGGGTGTTGTAAACTCCCCTGTGATATAGTTCATAATATCCAGGGGAGAGAGGAGGGTGATATTGCTCCTCATATCGCGAAGGGTGTACAACCCCCTGTGATATGGTTCATAATATCCAGAAGGGTAGAGGACGATGATATTACTCCACATATCTTGGGAGGTGTGATAATCAGGGGGCGTGCACTCTTCTGTGGTATAATTAGTAATATCCAGGGGGCAGAGGAGGAGTCGTTTCCATATCATGAAGGGAGTACACTTCCCTGTGATATGGTTCCTAATATCCAGGGGGGAGAGGGTGATATTATTCCCCATATTGCGGGGGGACATACAACCCCTGTGATATGGTTCATAATAACCAGAAAAGAAGAGGGTGATATTAATCCCCGTATTGCAGAGGGCATACACCCCCCCTGTGATATGGTTTGTAATATCTAGGGGAGGAAAAGGTGATATTACTTTCCATATTGCTGGGTGCAGACACCCCTTTATGATATGGTTCATAATATCCAAGTTGGAGAGGGTGATATTACTTCCCATATCATGGGAGGTATACCCTTCCCTGTGATATGGTTCGTAATATCCAGAAGGGGAGAGATTGATATTACTCCCCATATTGTGGGGGGCGTACACCTTCCTGTGATATGGTTTGTAATATCTAGGGGATATAGTGGGTGATATTACTCACCATATCACGGGGGTTGTAACATGGTTTGTAATATCCAGGGGAGGAGAGGGTAATGTTACTCCCCATATCTCGGGGCATGTACACCCTCCTGTGACATGGTTCGTAATATCCAGGTCGGGAGAGGGTGATATTACTCCTCATATTGCCGGGGGTGTGTTATGGTTCATAATATCCTGGGGAAGGAGGCTGCTATCACTCTCCACATCTTGGGGGATGTACACTCTCCTGTGATATGGTTCATAATATCCAGGGTGGGTGAGGGTAATATTACTCCCCATATCGCGGGAAGTGTACATACCCCTGTAATATTGTTTGTAATAGAAGAGAGGGTGATATTACTCCCCACATCGCGGGTGGTGCCCACCCCCCTGTGATATGGTTTGGAATATCCAGGGGGATGAGGAGGGTGATATTACTCCCCATATCTCGGTGGGAGTACATCCCTCTTTGATCAAGTTCATAATATCCAAAAGGAAACAGGAGAGTGATATTACTCCCCATATCGCCGGGGGTGTACACGGGAGGGGGAGTACACCCCCGGCGATATGGTCTGTAATATCCAGGGAAGGAGAGGAGGGTGATATTACTCACCATATCGCAGGTGGTCTACATTTACCTGTGAAACAGTTTGTAATATCCAGGGGGGGAAATGAGAATGATTTTTTTTTTTTGAGTCTCACTGTGTCACCCAGGTTGGAGTGCAGTGGCACGATCTTGGCTCACTGCAACCCCCGCCTCCTGGACTCAAGCAATTCTCCTCTCCCAGCCTCCTGAATAGCTGGGACTACAGGCGCACCCCACAACGTCTGGCTAATTTTTGTATTTTTATTAGAGACGGGGTTTCACCATATTGGCCAGGCTGATCTCGAACTCCTGACCCTGTGATCCATCCGCCTCGGCCTCCAAAAGTGCTGAGATTACAGATGTGAGCCACCACGCATGGCCCAAGGAGAACGATATTACTCCCCATATCCCAGGGGGTGTATATCCCCCTGTGATATGGTTCAGAATATCCGGAAGGAAAGACAGGGATATTACTTCCCATATCGCAAGGGGTGTGACATGGTTCGTAATATCCCATGGGGGAGAGGGTAATATTACTCTTCGTATTGTGAAGGGCATACACTCCCCTGTGATACAGTTCATAATATTCCGGGGAGTAGAGGAAGATATTATGCTCCATATCGCGGGTGGCATAAGCCCCCTGTGGTTTGGTTCATAATATCCAGGGAGGAGAGGGTAATATTACTCCCCATATTGTGGGGACGTACACCCTCCTGTGATATGGTTTGTAATATCCCAGAGGGGAGAGAGTGATATTACTCCCCATATTGCAGGGACATACACCCCCCTGTGATATGGTTCAAAATGTCTTTTTTTTTTGAAGGACTGGTTCTTTATTTCAAAAAGACACTTGTCAATATTCATTAACAAAACAGTTGCACTATTGATTTCTCTTTCTCCCAATCGGCCCCAAGTAGACCACATCAAAGGAGAGTACATATTAAGCCAATAAGCTGTAGGATGTACACCTAACAGACCTCCTAGAAACCTTACCAGAAAATGGGGACAGGGTAGGGAAAGAAACTTTAAAAGATCAACAAACTGCCAGCCCACGGACTGCAGGGGCTGTCACAGCCAGATGGGGTGGCCAGGGTGCCACAAACCCAAAGAAGCAAAGTTTCAAAATAATATAAAATTTAAAAAGTTTTGTACATAAGCTATTCAAGATTTCTCCAGCACTGACTGATACAAAGCACAATGAGATGGCACTTGTAGAGACAGCAGCTTCAAACTCAGAAAAGGGTAATGAGATGAGTTTCACATGGCTAAATCAGTGGCAAAAACACAATCTTCTTTCTTTCTTTCTTTCTTTCAAGGAGGCAAGAAAAGCAATTAAGTGCTCACCTCAACATAAGGGGAACATGATCCATTCTGTAAGCAGTTGGGAGGGGGTAGAGATGGAACAAAATTTTGGTCTCAGAGGTCTTGCCATCTTAATTTGGTCACTTCTAATGAAAAAAATAAAAAATAGAAATAACATTATCCAAAGGTATCTTAAAGCTGAAAACTTGAACAGCACATTTTTTGTTGTTGTTGTTTGGCTAACTCCTCCTGGAACCACCTTTCTGGCTTAGCTAGTACTTTGTACAGAGCAATGAGGCTTCCCATAGTGGAGTCTCCCTGGGCTCTGTTTGGCTCTCAGCAAGGCAGGCCTATACCTTTTCCTCTCCTCCATGGAGAGAGGAATATGCATTAAGGTGAAAAGTCACCTTCCAAAAGTGAGAAAGGGATTCGATCGCTGCTTCAGGGCTGTGGTATTATATGGAATGTTTTACAAAAGGTTGCTACAAAACAACAAAAGAGGTAATTACAAAATGTGTACATCACAACATACTTTTTAAAGACATTATGCATTGTGCTCACATTCCCTTAAATGTTGTTTCCAAAGGTGCTCAGCCTCTAGCCCAGCTGGAATCTCCGGGAAGAGGCGGACAGTTTGGTGAAAAAGACACAGGGAAGGAGCGGGCGGCGGAAGGAGGGGGCGGCGAAAGGAGAAAGCAGCCTTCCAGTTAAAGATCAGCCCTCAATTAAAGGTCAGCTTCGGGCAGGCTGGCCTCAGGCGGAGTCTGGTTCAGAGGGAGGAGCAGCAGCAGGGTGAGACTGAGGCGTTCTACATCTCATTCAGGTCAAGCAGAGTCTGGTCCAGCATCCTTTGTGTACAGAGGTGCTCCCCTTTGGTGCATTTCAGTTTATCTTCCAAGTCATCAATTGTCTTTTCCAGCTTGGCTACCGATCTCTCAGCAAACTCAGCATGGGTCTCCGCCTCCTTTATTTTATCAGTAAGAATCTTGATCTCTTCCTCATATTTGTCTTCTTTTTGAGAGTACTTTTCTTCAGCAGCACTCAGACACTTCAGGTTCTGGTCCATCAGTCTAATCTGCTCATCCATCTCTCGGCAAAGGGATTCTGCCAGCTCAGCTCGTTCCTCTGTGCGTTCCAAGTCTCCTTCAATGATCACCAACTTACGAGCCACCTCTTCATACTTCCTATCTGCCTCTTCTGCAATGTGCTTAGCTTCTCTGAGTTGGATTTCCTGGAGTTCCATCTTTTCTTCATCTTTTAAGGCCCGGTTTTCAATAACCTTCTTACCTCTCTCACTCTCATCAGCAGCTTTTTCCGCTTCTTCCAGCTTTTGCAGGGCAGTAGCCAGGTGCTCCTGAGCACGGTCCAGCTCCTCTTCAACCAGCTGGATCCCACGTTCAAGGAGGCCACCTCAGCCTCAGCCTGTTCCCGGGCCCACCTTTCTCCCTCAACTTCTCGCTGGAGGCGCTCAGCTCGCTCCTCTGCATCATCTGCCTGCTGCTGCAGAACCTGGATCTTGCGCTTCACCGCCTCGATGGTGGTGATCCCAGCCATGGTGCCCACCCAGCTACTGCTAGAGCTCCGGTTCCTGCCTCCTCCGATCGGCGTTGCAGCCTCCTCTCACCCTTACTTCCGCCTCGGTTCAAAATATCTTAAGGGAAGGAGTTGATATTACTCCCCACATCACGGGAAGTTTACATCCCCTGGTGATATGGTTTGTAATATCCCAGGGTGGATAGGGTGATATTACTCTCCATATCGCGAAGGAGTACTCCCCCCTGTGATATGGTTCATAATATCCTTGGGGGGAGAGTGTGATATTACTCCCCATATCGCGAGGGCCATATACTCCTTTGTGACATGGTTCGAAATATCCCGGTGGGGGAGGGGGTAGAGGGTAATATTACTCCCCATACAGCGAAGAGCATACGCCCTTCTGTGGCAAGGTTAGTAATACTTCAGGGAAAAGAGTGCAATATTACTTTTCATATTGCAGGGAACATACACTCCCCTGTGACATGGTTCGTAATATCCCGGGGGCTGAGAGGGTGATATTTCTCCCCATATCACCGGGGGCCTACACCTGGGTGTGATATGGCTCATAATATACAGGGAGGGAGAGGGTGATATTACTCCACATACCGAGTGAGGGGTTACACACCCTCGTGACATGTTCGAAATACCCCAAGGAGGAGACAATGATATTACTTTCCCTGTCGCGGGGGCTACACCCTCCCAGTGATATGGTTCACAATATCCCGGGGTGGAGAGGGTGATATTACTCCCTATATCACCGGGGGGTGTACACTTCCCTGGGAAATGGTTTACAGTATCCCCGGGGGGAGAGGGTACTATTACTCCCCATATCACGTTACATATCAGGGTACACCCCCACGTGATATGGTTTGTAACATCCCAGGAGGAAGAAAATGATATTACTCCCCATATCGCGGTGGCATACACCCCTCCCCGTTAAATGGTTCATAATATCTTGGGGTGGAGAGGGTGATATTACTCCCCATATCACGTGGGGCATACACCCCACTATGATATGGTTCATAATATCCCGGAGGGGAGAGGGAGATATTACTCTCCATGTCGCGGGGGGCATATACACCCCTGTGATATGGTTTGTGATATCCCGGGGGCGGAGAGGGAGATATTACTCTCCATATCGTGGGGTCGTACACTTTTCTGTGATATGATTCGTAATATCCAGACGGGGAGAGGGTGATATTACTTCCCATATTGCGGGGGCGTACACCCCTCTGTGATATGGTTCATAATATCCCGAAGAAAAGAGGGTGATATTACTCCTCATATCGCGGGGAACACACACCACCCTGTGATATGGTTTGTAATATTCAGCGGGGGAGAGAGTAATATTACTCCCTGTATCTCGGATGGCGTACACTCCCCTGTGATATGGTTCATAATATCCAGAAGAAAAGAGGGTGATATTACTCCCCATATTCCAGGGAATGTACACCACCCTTTGAATATGGTTCGTAATATCCAGGAGGGGAGAGGGTAATATTGCTCCCAATATCGAAGGAGGTGTTATACGGTTAGTAATATCCAGAGAAGGAGAGGGTGACATTACTCCCCACATCGTGGTGGGTGTGCACCCACCTGTGATATGGTTCATAATATTCAGGTTAAGAGAGGTGATATTGCTTTCCATATCGCCAAGGGTGTACACTCCCGTGAAATACAGTTCGTAATATCCAAAAGGGGAGAGGGTGATATTACTCCCATATCGTGGGGGGTGTACACCCCTCTGTGATATGGTTCATAATATCCAGGGTGGAATAAGGTGGTATTACTCCCTGTATCTCGGGGCATGTACATCGCCTGTGATATGATTCATAATATCCAGAAGAAGAGAGGGTGATATTAATCTCCATATTGCTGGGGGTGTACAACCCCCTGTTGTATGGTTTGTTACACTGAGTTGGGGAGAGGGTTACATTACTCTCAATATCGAGTGGGGCATACACACTTATGTGATATGGTTCATAATATCCCAGGGAGGAGAGGGTGATATTACTCCCCATATCGCGGGAGGCATACACCCCAATGTGATATGGTTTGTAATATCTACATTTTTTTTTTTGAGACGAAGTCTCGCTCTTGTCCCCCAGGCTGGAGTATGATGGCCGGATCTCGGCTCACTGCAACCTCAGCCTCCCGGGTTCAAGCGATTCTCCTGCCTTGGTCCCCCAAGAAGTTGGGATTACAGGCGCACACCACCACGCCCGGCTACTTTTTGTATTTTTAGTAGAGAAGGGGTTTCACCATGTTGGCCAGGCTGGTCTAGAACTCCTGACCTCAGATGATCCACCTGCCTCGGCCTCCCAAAGTGCTGGGATTACAGGCGTGAGCCACTGCACCTGGCCTGGTTTGTAATATCTATGAAGGGGGAAGGTGATATTACTTTCCATATCATGGGAGGCGTACACCACGATGTGATATGGTTTGTAATATCCAGGGGGTATACTGGGTGATATTACTCCCCATATCGCGGGGAGTGTATACCCTTTTGTGATATGGTTCCTAATATTAAGCTGAGGAGAAGGTAATATTACTCCCCATATCGCAGGGGTTTTTATATGGTTCATAATATTCAGGAAGAGAGAGGGTGACATTACTCTCCATATCACGGGGTGTGTACTCCCCCATGTGATATGGTTTGTAATATCCAGGGAAGGAGAGGTTAATATTACTCCCCATATCGCAGGGGGTGTACACCTCTCTGTGGTTTGTAATATCCAAAGGGAAGAGGATGATATTATCTTCAATATCTTGGGGGGATACAGTCCCCAGTGATATTGTTCATAATATCCAGAGGGGGAGGGGATGATATTACTCCCAATATTGCAGGTGGTGTACAACCCCCTGTGATATTCTTTATAATATAGAGGGGGATGATGATATTACTCCCAATATAGTAAACAACCTGTGTGTACACCCCCTGTGATATTGTTCATAATATCCAAGGGTGGAAAGGATGATATTACTCCTCATATCGCAGGGGGTGTATACCCCTCTGTGACATTGTTCCTAATATTCAGGGGAGGAGAAGATGATACTACTCCTCATATCACAGGGGATGTACACCCCCCTGTGATACTTTTGGTAATATCCAGGGGAGGAGAAAATTATATTATTCCCCATGTCACAGAGGGTGTACACCCCGCTGTGATAGTGTTCATAATATCCAGGTGAAAAGAGGATGATATTACTCCGAATATCTCAGGAAGTGTACACCCTTCTGTGATATTGTTCATAATATCCAAAGGTGGAGAGGAGGATACTACTCCCCATATCGCAGTGGGTGTACACCCCCCTGTGATATGGTTCATAATATCCAATGTAGGAGAGGATGATATTACTTTCCATATCGCGGAGAGTGTACATCCCCCTGTTATATTGTTTGTAATATTCAGGGAGAAAGAGGATACTACTACTCCCCATATCACACGGGGTGTATATTCCCCTGTGATATGGTTCCTGATATCCAAGAGATATTATAATCCTCTCTTGGATTATGCTACCTCTCATATCGCATGGGGTGTACACACACTTTGTGATATCGTTTGTCATATCCAAGGAGGGAGAGGATTATATTAATCCCAAGATCATGGGGGGTGTACACCCTCCTGTGATATTGTTTGTAATATTAAGGGGGGAGAGGATAATATTACTCCCAATATAATTAACACCCTGTGTGTACTCCTCCTTGTAATATTGTTCATAATATCCAATGGGGGAGACGATGATATTACTTTCAATATCGCAGAGGATGTACATCCCTTTGTAACAATGTTTGTAATATAAAAGGCAAGAGAGGATGATACTACTTCCAAAATTGCAGGACATGTACACCCCCCGGTGATATTGTTCCTAATATCCAGTGGGGAAGAGGATGATAGTAGTCCCAATATCGCAAAGGGTGTACACACCCCCTGGGATATTGTTCCTAATATAAAAGGAGGAGAGGATGCTATTATTCCCAATATCACAGAAGGTGTAAAATCCCCTGTGATATTGTTCGTAATATTCAGGAGGGGAGAGGATTATATTACTCCCAATATCACAGGGTGTGTACACAGGGAGGGGCAAGGGCCAGAAGCGGGCGGGAATCCCCATGTTTGGGCGGACCCAGTTTCTAATGGCCAGCATTTGCCAATCAAAGCTTACCAGAGAACTCTAAAAGCCAGGGCTTTCCTGCTAGACAAGACTCTTTTCTGGAACTGCTTTAAAAA
The DNA here is from genome assembly GCF_000001405.40 of Homo sapiens. NCBI lineage: Eukaryota > Metazoa > Chordata > Mammalia > Primates > Hominidae > Homo > Homo sapiens. The sequence goes on from NT_187620.1 coordinate 188,406, forward strand.
GAAACAAAACTTCCCAAGGACCCCTTTTCCTCTCTGTCTGCCTAAAATAATGTTTTAAAAACTCCTAAAGCAGCTGAATTCAGCCCCCTTCCTGGGGGAATGTATAGACGGAACTCCCACCTTTCCCGGCATCCCAAGGCCAGAGTATGTGAAACTCCTGGGTCTCTATGTGTGTCTGAGCGGCTGCTCTGCCAACACTCCACACAGCCCTGTGTCCTGGACCCAAGGCCCTTATGACCTGAGCTCAAGAGGGGATCTCCTGATCCATGGGTTGCAAAGATCCATGGGAGAAGCATGGTTTCTGGGGCGGGGTCACACGCTCAGTCACTGTTTCCCTCGGATGCCGGAGATGGTTCCTTTGGCTCTCTGCCAATACAGGGTGAATCATCATCCATCCCTCTTTTCTTTGTTCTCCCGGGTCAAGTTGTTTGCCTAGTCAGTCCCAATGTGAGAACCTGAATATTTCAGTTGACGCGCTGACTTCAAAATCCCCGGGCTTCGGGAGGCGGAGCTTGCAGTGAGCCGAGATCCCGCCACTGCACTCCAGCCTGGGCGACAGAGCGAGACTCCGTCTCAAAAAAAAAAAAAAAAAAAAAAAAATCCCCGGGCTTTTCTTTTCACTCAGTGGAAGGCAGCTGCTTCTAATTGGCCATCTTGGCCCGCCCCCACCACGTGACCTTCTGTAAAATGCCTCCACTCTCCAGGAACGCTCTCATTATATAACTTTGCCTGAAACCAACAGCACGCTCATTGCACATATCATGGGCTCATTTATTTCACTTATAAAGAACCTGGCCAAGGAAGAGATAGTGCCTAAAGTGGCCAGTATTCTGACCGATATGTTAGAAAAATGGTGTGCCGACCAATTCATGACATGTGTCCCAAAACTAGCAACGGAAATTGTATTCGCCGTGTTGAGGTCTCTAATCCAGATGATGCTCATCTATGTACTGGAAAAGGCAGAGTCCTTTCCTGACAAGCTGCTGAAACTCTTCAGAAACATCTCATATTTCCTGAAGAAGATGATGTCTGGACAAGCAGCACAGGTCGTTCAGATTTAACTTTCTATTCATATATCCAGCACGATATTCGCACAATTGTCACGAAACCTTACCAGTTGATGAGTCCTGCACATTTCCTTTAATTTCAGGAGGAAGAGGGTAATCCGGATGAGTTTTCTGACCTACTCGGCGGCTGTGATTAAACAACCACCAGGAAATTTTGACGACACTGTTCTCCTGAGCTCCTCCCTTTCCTCCGGGAACAAAACAATTGAATTTACAAAAATAAAGTGTTATTTGACTGGAGTGAGGTCTCATGTCTGCTTATGCGGTGGCTCGCTGCTCAGAACAGGGTGAGTCTCTGGGTTGTGTGCTGAGGAGGGGAGGCTCTCAATCTGGAGAAAACCCACTGCAGGGGACACCTCCATGGGGTCTGAGGGACTGAGGATGAGGAGCCGGACTGGGTCTAGGGAAGGAGGAGGTTTCAGAGGGTGAAATTCTGGCACTAAAGCCTGGGGGTGTTTGGGAACTTCCTCCTTCCGAAGAAGTTTCAGGGAGGGATAAAGACAAACCCTGGGCTCCTTGAGGGGCCCTTACTAATTTGAGAGGACTCTATCGGGAAGGAGAGTGACAATGGCCTCCTTGAGGACTGAGGCCCCTGAATAAATGAGGCCCAGATACAGTCCATGGGGGATGAGACCTTCAAGGGTCACATTTTGGTTGGGACAGAGGAAAAGTGCAGCTCTGCAGCCGCAGAGGAAAACCCGGCAGTGTGAAAGCGACCTTGGAGGGGCCCTGTGCGCTCTGAATGCGTCTGAGCCCCCATCCCCTGTCCCCGCCTCTCTTTCTGGATTCTTCCAGCTCGGCTGTCTCCGCCATCTTCTGAGCGCTCCACCCTGACTTATTCAAGTTTCCCTTCTGCCTTCCAAGTACTCCAAAATCTTTCAGATCTGTGTCCCTACCCCTGTTTTTAGCATGTGTTGGGGCTCCAGGTCCCTGAAGGTTTCTGGCCTGAAATCCACCTCCCCAGCGGAGTGGACTGCGTTCTAGAGACTCCACACTCCGCGAGGTTCCCAGGCCCCTGAGGGACAACCGAGTGGCCTGCGCACTTCAGGGCTCCACACTCGGCAAGGTCTTTCAAGCCCTTGGGGTCCCCTTCTTAGTTTTTTCCACCTTTCTGGGCTGCAGTCACTCCATAAATGCTGGGATCTGATCCCCACCCCCACTCTCGTTTCCTCAATTCTGCGGGCTACACGCTCTGGCAAGGTCCTCCGGGCCCTGGATCCCCTCCCTCTCCCTATGCCCACGCTCCTAGTCAGCCCTTCTGGGGTCCACTATTTTCAGGAACTAACCATTCTCATGGAGCCTTGCTAACCGGAAAGCTGTGTGGAAGAAAGGCTTTGAGGATAGAGGTGGAGATTTGGCTCTTCCATAGTGCCACTCACCCACCCCACCATGCTGCCACTGCCAGACCCGGACCCCTGTTTCAGAACAAGTGACCAGATTCGCTCCTGGACAGCCCTGGACACTGGCCTTTTCTCTGAAAACTACTCACCCTTTCTCTAGTCCCCACTTCATGCCAGCCTCATACCCTCTTCCTTCCCCCACGCTGGCTTCCGGGATCCTCCTCTGCTCAGACAACCTCTTCTGTGTCCCACCCCCGTTTTTAGAATGCTTTGGGGCACCAGGTTGGGGGAAGGTTTCTGGCCTGATATCCATCTCTTTCCAAACTCCCTTCTTCCCTTGAAAGGCTTCTTGCCTTCAGCCCCACTTCTGGCTCCGAGGTTTCAGGACACCCTCCTCTTCATCCTCATTCTTTTGACCACCAGCTTTTTAGGAATTCGAACGTCCCTCTCATCTTCGTGAATCCTGTCCAGGCATTTGTTGACCCCTTCATCTGATACCCCTGACCTCACATTGCCAAAAGTCTACCCCTACCCAGTACACTGGAATTAGACAAAATCCCAGGAGTTTTACCTCAACTCTGAGTGTGCCCACAGGAGCTCTCCCTGAAGCCACGTCCTTTTAAGCAGGGTCTAGGGTTCCTCCCTTGTCTTAATGAACTCTTTGTCACACGGAGGACGTTATGGAGCCCTTATGATCTTTCACTGCCTTTCTGCCCAGCGTTTTGTCTTTCCATGGACATTTATAATATTTTCCATGGACATTTTGTTCTCTCAATGTCCACCCCTAATTTCCAACATCCCAAAGATTCTCATGTGTTTCCTGAAAGCCATTTACAGGAATGGCTGTGCCCAGACCCCCTTCCCCAGGATCCTCCTTCACACCTGGTAGGTGCCTCTCCTAGAGAGATTTGCACTCAGTTGTCGTGCAGTCACATGGCCCAGATGGTTGTTAATCACCCCCTTCCTGGCAACAGCTAGCAGCCAGGGAATCACTGGCACAGAAACCTCAGGGTGACCAAGATGAGGCCACCTCTGTGCTGAAGGCTGTGCTCCAGAGCCTGCTTGGGATCAGGCTTAAGCAGGTCTTCAGCCAGACCTGATGTTACCTGGTTTCCTTGAGCTGCCCTGCCTGAGCTATCGGGAGCACTCCCTCAATGCACATCTTGATTCCCTATCTCATGCTCTGCTTCTAGAAACCATGAGCTATCAATTGCTACTGGCAATGGTCCTGGGAAGTCAACCCTAAGTATGGATTCTGGGGTTGGATGACTCCCCACAGGACTTCAGTGAGCAACAATCACTGCTGGCAGTTGGAGGACAGAGTCGCTAGGGCATGTGACCACTGTGAAACCACCGATGTTTCACCTGGGGTAATTTTGGATGAACTACGGTAGAAGCACTGAAGGTACATTGCTTTTGGTTTGGAAGATTGTAGGTAAATAATAGCGATATGAATGTGGAATTGGATGGCTGCAAACGAGTGCCATTGATGCATTGAAAGAGGAAAAGTCAGGCTGTCACCTGTCACTCAGCAATTTAAAGTGTGAGAGTTGGGACTAGATGTGGTGGCTCACATCTATAATCCAGAGATTCGGGGGAAGCTTGAAGAGGTAGGATCTTTTGAGTCCAGGAGTTCCAGACCAGCCTGGACACCAGAGCAAGACCTCATCTCTACAACAAAATTTTCTTAAAAATTAGATGGGCTTGGTGGCACGCACCTGTACTTGTAGATCTAGCTAATGGGGAGCATGAGATAAAAAAATCACCTGAGTCAGGGACTTAGGGGTTACAATGAGGTATGATTGTGCCACTGCACACACTCCCACCTGGCCAACAGAGTGAGATTCTGCTTCCAAAAAAATAAGAAATAAATCAGGTTTGAGAGTTGGAAAGCATCATCTTCTCCTAGAGCCAAAGGACATGTACAACTGAGACCCAGGAACAAAGCTTCATCACAAAGAGACCATCATCAGTGGAGCCGGGAGATGCATTCCCCCTCACCCTGCCTTGAGGAGGCAGTGGAGTCATCTGTCTGGGATCCTTTCTGACCCAGCCCTATTTGTTTGTCTCTTTGGCTTCTTTGGATTTGTATATTTTAGCTGTTATAACACTGTAAAACAAACAGAGTGATTTTTTTGAGTTGTGTGAATGATGCTAGCTCCATAGTCACCCTGAGAGTGATGGGAACTTTTGAATTTGTGGCAAGTTGGAGGGTAGTGTAAGTGACCTGAGATTGCCAAATTGGGGCTAGCACTGGATGTGAGGTTAGGCTAGTGGAAAAATATGCCCAGAACCAGAGGAGTGTGGGCTCACTGCAGGTGGTTAGGCTCAGATCCAAATTGTACAGATGGATAGCTTTGGGGTAAAGAATAACATAGTTGAGAAGTGCATGTGTTAGTCTGTTCATGCACTGCTATAAAGAATTACCTGAGACTGGGTAATTATTTATAAAACTCAGGTTTAATTGGGTCATGGTTCCACAGGCTGTACAAAAAGTATGATGCTGGCCATCAGCTCAACTTCTGGGGAGGCCCCAGAATAGTTAGAGTCATGGCAAAAAGTACAAGGGAAGCAGGCTCATCTTCCACGGCCAGAGCTGGAGCAAGTGGTAGGAGAGGTGATACACACTTTCAAACAAGTAGATCTTTTGAGAACTCCATCACCGGACAGCACCTATGGGATGGTGCTAAATTATTCATGAAATATCCGCCTCCATAATCCACTCAACTGTCACCAGCGCAGCCAGCCCCACCTCCAACAGTGGGGATTACAATTCCATATGAGGTGTGGGTGGGGACACAGCTCCAACCTCAATCAGTGGGCATCCTGGATTGGGTCTACTATAGAAGGAGAACCAGGAGCTGACTATGATCTTGAACCCTACCCATGATGGCCGGGCGGGGTGACTCATGCCTGTAACCCCAGCACTTTGGGAGGCTGAGGTGGGTGGATCGCCTGAAGTCAGGAGTTAGAGACCAGCCTGGCCAACATGGTGAAAACCTGTCTCTACTAAAAATACAAAAAATTAGACCGGCGTTGTGCTGGATGCCTGTAATCACACCACTACGCTCCAGCATGGGAAAAAATACCAAAACTTCGTCTCAAAAAAAAAAAAAAAAAAAAAAAAAAAGACTGCCCATGACCACTGCACCAGTGAGAGGGACACCAGCATCACTGAGATGCAAGGGCTGGACATTCTTCATAGGTCAGAGCTCAAAGCAGGGGACACTGATACAGAGATGGGCTCCATCCATAGCACCAAAGTGGTGAGAGGATGTGGGAATGGCAGAGGCCAGCACTTTGCCATCAATGCAAGGGGGTATAAGGAGGTGACACCAGTGCCAGAGTACATCACGGGGGGACTGCCCTACAATATCTAGGACTTACCTCTTAGAGCGTGTTTCATTAGCGACAACAGATATAAATGGCAGACAGGTGTGTCCCTGCATTAACAGGAAATAGAAATCATCAAGAGGAACAGAAGGCAGATGTCAGCAGCCCCTTAGAAAGTCATCATCCTTCATACAGTTAAAATCTGAGACAGTTCTCACACGAGAAGGCCTAACTCAAAAAGAGGCTGGGTTCTCATGAGGCAGGTTTATGCAAAACCAAGGAAGGTGTACAAGTTTGGAATTCTCCAGTTTCCCTTGGAAAAGACCTACAGTCATTTGCTTAGGTAACTGAGCACTGAACAAAGGTGAGTATTGTTGTCTTTTAGAAGCTCTTGGCCAAGAAGGCCTTGTTGGCATAAAACCCATGGTTTGGAAACATCACCATGACCCCTGTTAGAGTAATGGCCTAAGGGTGGGGGTCAGGAAATTGATGTATTCCTTGCCAACTTCTGCCTCTAAGTGAGTGAACTCTGTTTGTGAACCTCTCTCCTCTGTGGTTATGTTCCTAGGCTCTCATGTATAATCAGGAGTCATAGACTTAGAAACAGGAAAAATACTTACAGTGTTTTTGTGGCCTGTGAGCTATGACTTATAATTTTAGGAAAAAAACAATTGCAAATGGAAAGCCTAAGTCTATCAATGCTCATCCAAGACAACATAATCAATAAAAACCAATATCAAATCTCAAGGCAAATTATTTCCTGTATATAGATGGCAGAGATGAGCACCACCATCAAAAACTCAAGGACCAGTGCTGTGGGTCCAGTCATCTGTTTCATGGAATTCACCAGTCTGGTATCTTCAAAATCCAGAAGGATGATGGCAGATGGCAGGAAGGTAATGCAAACGTCATCAGGTGTGACCCCACTGTAGCAGCTGTGATGGATGTTTTCTCTCACCATAGCAATAAATAACACAACCTCGGTCACACTGTATGCATTGTTGGTCTGCAAAATCCATGTTTTGCAAAACTCTTCAGGAAGGTGGATCTGTAATATTGGCATTGACATGAGAACAACAGCAGTATTTATTCACAATCTCAAGCTCTCTGTCTTCCCGTCTCTCTCATTAGCCATCCAAGTAGTCCTGAGGAACCAAGCCCATCAGAACATTCTGCAACATAATACACAGCTCCATTCTCCATTCAAATTTTGTTGTTGTTGTTGTTGTTGATGAGACAACATCTTACTCCATCAGCCAGGCTGACGTACAGTGGGGCTATCTGGGCTGACTGTAGTCTTGAGCTTCCAGGCTCAAGGCATCCTCTCACCTCAGCCTCCTAAGTGGCTTGAACTACAGACACACAGCGACATGCTGGGCTAGTTTTTGTATATTTTGTAGAGACGTGCTCTCACCATGTTATTCAGGCTGGACTCAAACTCCTGAGCGTAAGTGATCCAAGCACCTTGGCCTCAAAGTGCTGAGATTACAAGCCTGAGCCACTGCACCCAGCCCAATCTCCATTCTACTGATAACAATGTCATTACCAGGTCTGATGGACAGGAAATGGTAAGGTTTCTGAAAACCTAAGGATCACACAGCGAGTTCCAAAGGCTGAAAGTGCATACCTGTCGACACTGATACCAATGACATCCAATGGTGAGAATGACATTCCTTGTAGTCCTAGCTCTGCTCATAACAAATCTATACTGAAGTGTAAGAGTTTGATGGTCATGGGGATTTTCCATGTCTCTGCCTTTCAGCGATGTGCCATATCTGTGAAGTGTTCAGAAATGCAACAGCCTGAGGCATGCTGGGCATATCCTCTAATAAAAAGGAAAATGCCATTTTATGGTCCTGTATTTCTACAAGTTGGAACACATGGGCCTGTGATCCAGATGGGGGAAATGGGAATATTCCCACTCATTCACCTTCATCCACGAAGCCCATTTGAAAGCTTTGGGCTTCCCATCCTTGTAGATTTTAGTGTTGTGGGCTGGGTGCAGTGGCTTTCACCTGTACTGCCAACACTTTGGGAGGCCTAGACAGGTGAATCCACTGAGGCCAAAAGTTCGAGACCAGCCTGGCCAAGATGGTGAAACCCCGTCCCTACTAAAAATACAAAAATTAGCAAGGTATTGGGGCCAGCACCTGTAATCCCAGCTGCTCGGGAGGCTGAGGCTGGAGAATCGCTTGAACCCAAAAGGCAGAGACTGCAGTGACCCGATCCTGCCTTTGCACTCCACCTGGGCAAGCAGAACAAAACTTCTGTCTTGAAAAAAAAAACAAAAAACGAACAAAAAAGATGTTAGAGTTCTGGGTTTAGAGGTCTATACCCCAGAAAGAGAATGGTTTCAACAAGGGACAAAGAAGTTGCTTTAAACGTTGACTTGCCATTTCTTTTCAGTGTGTTTGTTCTCTTGCGTCAAGAGACCACCAGAAAAGTGGTGCAATTACTCTCCTGTCAAGAATCATTGACTATCATCTGCAAGAGGGTCAGATCCTGGTATATAATTAGGGCAGAAATACTTAGTCTGAGAAGGGTATGACATCCAGAGGCCCTATTAATGATGTCCTTTTCTCCATGCCTGACTCTGACTCCATGTGCTGGACTGCCCCTGTGTGGATGGCCTCATGGCCTGCTCGGACTCTGAGGTCCCACCCCAAGTGGCACCTCCATGGAGGGCTCTACTCTTGTATGGGCTCTGACACTCACACTGAGACACTCTCCCATGGACACCTCTTCACCCACTTGGGGTCTGAAACTGGGCTACTCCATCCCTCCCTAACCTGGAACAGAGAGCTTTCACTGCTATTACACAAGTCATAGAGGCTAACTCCTCATTTTTCCAAGCTAATTATTGAAACATTAGTCCTGGGTTGATAAGACAAGATAAGTTAACTTTTCATAAATTTGCTTATCAAGTTTTGAATAAATTCAAATAAATTCACCTTCCCCACACACCTTAGTTGTCGACATCACACGTGCACCCATACTCACAGGGTGAGCACGAAGGCTTCACTGTCAGTGGAGAAAGTGGCAAAACCCTTCTGTGCCTCATCCTGGTCTAGACCTGGCCCTCATCCTTTCCCACTCTTCCCCTCACTCCCTTGGATTCATCCACACTGGCCTCCTGCCTGCTGCTCCACCTCCCTGCGAAGCTCACCCCTGCCTCAGGGCCTTTGCACGTGCAGTGGCTTCAAGCCATATCCTCTTCACCCAGATCTCCCAGATCTCCTGAATGATCTTCTTTTATCATTCAGGTCTCAGCTTGCATGTAATCTTCTCAGTGAGGATTACCCAAACCACATAGTTCATTCATTCATTCAAATATTCATTCAATGGCATATTGACAAAGCAGCTACTTCATGCCAGGCCTTGGGCCAGGTGTTATGGATATGGCAACAAACAAAACAAGAGTTTTCTGCTCTCAAATTTTTACCCACTTAAAGGAGATATCATACATCATCTGTAAATAAATACATCATCTGTAAATAATGATGTAAATAAATACATCATCTGTAAATCTGTAAATAATGATGTAAATAAATACATCATCTGTAAATAAATAAAGTATAATAAAAGAAAATAGTAGGTTTTTTTGGTTGGAGGTGACCGTGAAGTTTGCAAATACCATCTTACAACACATTATTTTATTTTATTTCATTTCATTTTTAATTTTATTATTATTATACTTTAAGTTTTAGGGTACATGTGCACAACGTGCAGATTTGTTACATATGTATACATGTGTGAAGTTGGTGTGCTGCACCCATTAACTCGTCATTTAGCATTAGGTATATCTCCTAATGCTATCCTTCCCCCCTCCCCCACCCCACAACAGTCCCCGGTGTGTGATGTTCCCCTTCCTGTGTCCATGTGTTCTCATTGTTCAGTTCCCCCCTATGAGTGAGAACATGCGGTATTTGGTTTTTTGTCCTTGTGATAGTTTGCTGAGAATGATGGTTTCCAGCTTCATCCATGTCCCTACAAAGGACACGAACTCATCATTTTTTATGGCTGCATAGTATTCCATGGTGTATATGTGCCACATTTTCTTCATCCAGTCTATCATTGTTGGATATTTGGGTTGGTTCCAAGTCTTTGCTATTGTGAAGAGTGCCGCAATAAACATACGTGTGCGTGTGTCTTTATAGCAGCATGATTTATAATCCTTTGGGTATATACCCAGTAATGGGATGGCTGGGTCAAATGGTATTTCTAGCTCTAGATCACTGAGGAATCGCCACACTGACTTCCACAGTGGTTGAACTAGTTTACAGTCCCACCAACAGTGTAAAAGTGTTCCTATTTCTCCACATCCTCTCCAGCACCTGTTGTTTCCTGACTTTTTAATGATCGCCATTCTAACTGGTGTGAGATGGTATCTCACTGTGGCTTTGATTTGCATTTCTCTGATGGCCAGTGATGATGAGCATTTCTTCATGTGTTTTTTGGCTGCATAAATGTCTTCTTTTGAGAAATGTCTGTTCATATCCTTCACCCACTTTTTGATGGGGTTGTTTGTTTTTTTCTTGTAAATTTGTTTGAGTTCATTGTAGATTCTGGATATTAGCCCTTTGTCAGATGAGTAGGTTGTGAAAATTTTCTCCCATTCTGCAGGTTACCTGTTCACTCTGATGGTAGTTTCTTTTGCTGTGCAGAAGCTCTTTAGTTTAATTAGATCCCATTTGTCAATTTTGGCTTTTGTTGCCATTGCTTTTGGTGTTTTAGACATGAAGTCCTTGCCCGTGCCTATGACCTGAATGGAAATGCCTGGGTTTTCTTCTAGGGTTTTTATGGTTTGAGGTCTAACATGTAAGTCTTTAATCCATCTTGAATTAATTTTTGTATAAGGTGTAAGGAAGGGATCCAGTTTCACCTTTCTACATATGGCTAGCCTGTTTTCCCAGAACCATTTATTAAATAGGGAATCCTTTCCCCACTTCTTGTTTTTGTCAGGTGTGTCAAAGATCAGATAGTTGTAGATATGTGACATTATTTCTGAGGACTCTGTTCTGTTGCATTGGTCTATATCTCTGTTTTGGTACCAGTACCATGCTGTTTTGGTTACTGTAGCCTTGTAGTATAGTTTGAAGTCAGGTAGCATGATGCCTCCAGCTTTGCTCTTTTGGCTTAGGATTGACTTTGCAATGCGGGGTCTTTTTTGGTTCCATGTGAACTTTAAAGTAGTTTTTTCCAATTCTGTGAAGAAAGTCATTGGTAGCTTGATGGGGATGGCATTGAATCTATAAATTACCTTGGGCAGTATGGCCATTTTCACGATATTGATTCTTCCTACCCATGAGCATGGAATGTTCTTCCATTTGTTTGTATCCTCTTTTATTTCATTGAGCAGTGGTTTTAGTTCTCCTTGAAGAGGTCCTTCACATCCCTTGTAAGTTGGGTTCCTAGGTATTTTATTCCCTTTGAAGCAATTGTGAATGGGAGTTCACTCATGATTTGGCTCTCTGTTTGTCTGTTATTGGTGTATAAGAATGCTTGTGATTTTTGTACATTGATTTTGTATCCTGAGACTTTGCTGAAGTTGCTTATCAGCTTAAGGAGATTTTGGGCTGAGACAATGGGTTTTCTAGATATACAATCATGTCGTCTGCAAACAGGGACAATTTGACTTCCTCTTTTCCTAATTGAATACCCTTTATTTCCTTCTCCTGCCTAATTGCCCTGGCCAGAACTTCCAACACTATGTTGAATAGGAGTGGTGAGAGAGGGCATCCCTGTCTTGTGCCAGTTTTCAAAGGGAATGCTTCCAGTTTTTGCCCATTCAGTATGATATTGGCTGTGGGTTTGTCATAGATAGCTCTTATTATTTTGAGATATGTCCCATCAATACCTAATTATTGAGAGTTTTCAGCATGAAGGGTTGTTGAATTTTGTCAAAGGCCTTTTCTGCATCTATTGAGATAATCATGTGGTTTTTGTCTTTGGGTCTGTTTATATGCTGGATTACATTTATTGATTTGCATATATTGAACCAGCCTTGCATCCCAGGGATGAAGCCCACTTGATCATGGTGGATAAGCTTTTTGATGTGCTGCTGGATTCGGTTTGCCAGTATTTTACTGAGGACTTTTGCATCAATGTTCATCAAGGATATTGGTCTAAAATTCTCTTTTTTGGTTGTGTCTCTGCCTGGCTTTGGTATCAGGATGATGCTGGCCTCATAAAATGAGTTAGGGAGGATTCCCTCTTTTTCTATTGATTGGAATAGTTTCAGGAGGAATGGTACCAGTTCCTCCTTGTACCTCTGGTAGAATTGGGCTGTGAATCCATCTGGTCCTGGACTGTTTTTGGTTGGTAAGCTATTGATTATTGCCACAATTTCAGATCCTGTTATTGCTCTATTCAGAGATTCAACTTCTTCCTGGTTTAGTCTTGGGAAGGTGTATGTGTCCAGGAATTTATCCATTTCTTCTAGATTTTCTAGTTTATTTGCGTAGAGGTGTTTGTAGTATTCTCTGATGGTAGTTTGTATTTCTGTGGGATCAGTGGTGATATCACCTTTATCATTTTTTATTGCATCTATTTGATTCTTCTCTCTTTTTTTCTTTATTAGTCTTGCTACCGGTCTATCAATTTTGTTGATCCTTTTAAAAAACCAGCTCCTGGATTCATTAATTTTTTGAAGGGTTTTTTGTGTCTCTATTTCCTTCAGTTCTGCTCTGATTTTAGTTATTTCTTGCCTTCTGCTAGCTTTTGAATGTGTTTGCTCTTGCTTTTCTAGTTCTTTTAATTGTGATGTTAGGGTGTCAATTTTGGATCTTTCCTGCTTTCTCTTGTGGGCATTTAGTGTTATAAATTTCCCTCTACACACTGCTTTGAATGTGTCCCAGAGATTGTGGTATGTTGTGTCTTTTTTCTCGTTGGTTTCAAAGAACATCTTTATTTCTGCCTTCATTTTGTTATGTACCCAGTAGTCATTCAGGAGCAGGTTGTTCAGTTTCCATGTAGTTGAGCGGTTTTGAGTGAGTTTCTTAATCCTGAGTTCTAGTTTGATTGCACTGTGGTCTGAGAGACAGTTTGTTATAATTTCTGTTCTTTTACATTTGCTGAGGAGAGCTTTACTTCCAAGTATGTGGTCAATTTTGGAATAGGTGTGGTGTGATGCTGAAAAAAATGTATATTCTGTTGATTTGGGGTGGAGAGTTCTGTAGATGTCTATTAGGTCCGCTTGGTGCAGAGCTGAGTTCAAATCCTGGGTATCCTTGTTAACTTTCTGTCTCATTGATCTGTCTAATGTTGACAGTGGGGTGTTAAAGTCTCCCATTATTATTGTGTGGGAGTCTAAGTCTCTTTGTAGGTCACTCAGGACTTGCTTTATGAATCTGGGTGCTCCTGTATTGGGTGCATATATATTTAGGATAGTTAGCTCTTCTTGTTGAATTGATCCCTTTACCATTATGTAATGGCCTTTTTTGTCTCTTACGATATTTGTTGGTTTAAAGCCTGTTTTATCAGAGACTAGGATTGCAACACCTGCCTTTTTTTGTTTTCCATTTTCTTGGTAGATCTTCCTCCATCCCTTTATTTTGAGCTTATGTGTGTCTCTGCACGTGAGATGGGTTTCCTGAATACAGCACACTGATGGGTCTTGACTCTTTATCCAATTTGCCAGTCTGTGTCTTTTAATTGGAGCATTTAGCCCATTTACATTTAAGGTTAATATTGTTATGTGTGAATTTGATCCTGTCGTTATGATGTTAGCTGGTTATTTTGCTCATTGGTTGATGCGGTTTCTTCCTAGCCTTGATGGTCTTTACAATTTGGCATGTTTTTGCAGTGGCTGGTACTGACTGTTCCTTTCCATGTTTAGCGCTTCCTTCAGGAGCTCTTTTAGGGCAGGTCTGGTGGTGACAAAATCCCTCAGCATTTGCTTGTCTGTAAAGGATTTTATTTCTCCTTCACTTATGAAGCTTAGTTTGGCTGGATATGAAATTCTGGGTTGAAAATTCTTTTCTTTAAGAATGTTGAATATTGGCCCCCACTGTCTTCTGGCTTCTAGAGTTTCTGCCAAGAGATCAGCCGTTAGTCTGATGGGCTTCCCTTTGTGGGTAACCCGACCTTTCTCTCTGGCTGCCCTTAACATTTTTTCCTTCATTTCAACTTTGGTGAATCTGACAATTATGTGTCTTGGAGTTGCTCTTCTTGAGGAGTATCTTTGTGGCATTCTCTGTATTTCCTGAATTTGAATGTTGGCCTGCCTTGCTAGGTTGCAGAAGTTCTCCTGGGTAATATCCTGAAGAGTGTTTTCCAGCTTGGTTCCATTCTCCCCATCACTTTCAGGTACACTAATCAAACGTAGATTTAATCTTTTCACATAGTTCCATATTTCTTGGAGGCTTTGTTTGTTTCTTTTTACTCTCTTTCCTCTAAACTTCTCTTCTCACTTCATTTCATTAATTTGATCTTCATTCACTTATATACTTTCTTCCACTTCATCAAATCGGCTACTGAAGGTATTGCATGCATCATGTAGTTCTCATGCCATGGTTTTCAGCTCTATCAGGTCATTTAAGGTCTTCTGTACATTGTTTTCTCTACTTAGCCATTCGTCTAATCTTTTTTCAAGGTTTTTAGCTTCCTTGTGATGGGTTTGAACATCCCCTTTAGCTCAGAGATGTTTGTTATTACTGACCTTCTGAAGCCTGCTTCTGTCAACTTGTCAAAGTCATTCTCCATCCAGCTTTGTTCCATTGCTGGTGAGGAGCTGCGATCCTTTGGAGGAGAAGAGGTGCTCTGGTTTATAGAATTTTCAGCTTTTCTGCTCTGGTTTCTCCCCATCTTTGTGGTTTTATCTACCTTTGGTCTTTGATAATGGTGACCTAGAGATGGGGTTTTGGTGTGGATGTCCTTTTTGTTGATGTTGATGCTGTTCCTTTCTGTTTGTTAGTTTTCCTTCGAACAGTCAGGTTCCTCAGCTGCAGGTCTGTTGGAGTTTGCCGGAGGTCCACTCCAGACCCTGTTTGCCTGGGTATCACCAGCGGAGGCTGCAGAATAGCAAATATTGCACAACAGCAAATATTGCTGCCTGATCCTTCCTCTGGAAGCTTCGTCTCAAAGGGGTGCCTGGCTGTATGAGGTGTCAGTTGGCCCCTACTGGGAGGTGTCTCCCAGTTAGGCTAGATGGGGGTTAGGGACCCACTTGAGAAGGCAGCCTGTCCATTCACAGAGCTCAAACACTATGCTAGGAGAGCCACTGCTCTCTTCAGTGCTGTCAGATGGGGATGTTTAAGTCTGCAGAAATTTCTGCTGCCTTTTATTCAGCTATGCCCTGCCCCTACAGATGGAGTCTACAGAGGCAGGCAGGCCTCATTGAGCTGCGGTGGGCTCCTCCCAGTTCGAGCTTCCAGACCACTTTGTTTACCTACTGAAGCCTCAGAAATGGTGAACACCCCTCCCCCACCCAGTCTGCCGCCTTGCAGTTCCATCTCAGACTGCTGTGCTAGCAGTGAGCGAGGCTCCATGGGCGTGGGACCCACTGAGCCAGGCACAGGATATAATCTCCTGGTGTGCCATTTGCTAAGACCATTGGAAAAGCACAGTATTAAGGTGGGAGTGTCCCAATTTTCCCAGTACAGTCTGTCACGGGTTCCCTCATCTAGGAAAGGTAAATCCCCTAACCCCTTGTGCTTCCCGGTGACGCAATGCCCCACCCTGCTTCAGCTAGCCCTCCATGGGCTGCATCCACTGTCCAACCAGCCCAATGAGATGAACAAGGTACCTCAGTTGGAAATGCAGAAATCACCCATCTTCTGTGTGGATCAGGCTGGGAGCTGCAGACCGGAGTTGCTCCTATTCGGCCATCTTGGAATGGCAATCTATGTTTGCTTTTTACATTTGAAAAAACTGGTGTCACGTACCTAGGTATTAATCATTGTGGTATCCTCTTGCCGATTTACCTCTTTATCATTAACTAGTGACCCTCCTTGTCTTTTGTTGTTACAGTCTGTGATTTTAGTCTATTTTATCTAATATGAGAATAGCTACTCTGGCACTTTTTTGGTTTCCAGCTTCATGAAATATCCTTTTCCATTTCCCTGTTTTCATTTCCCTTTCGGTGTCTCTATAGATGAAGTTGATTTCTTTAAGGCACCATAAGTTGGGTCTTATTTCTTTATCCATTTGACCATTTAGAGAATTTAGAACACTGTCAGTGTTATTATTCATAAGTAAAAACTTAAGAGTGGGTGTAGTGGTGTACATCTGTATTTCCTGCACTTTGAGAGACTGAGGCGAGCTGATCTCCTGGGGTCAGGAGTTTGAGACCGGCCTGGTCAACATGATGAAACCCTGTCTCTACTAAAAATACAAAAATTAGCCAAGCATGCTGGCATGTGCCTGTAATCCAATTTACTTGGGAGGCTGAGGCAGGAGAAGCTTGAACCTGGGAGACAAATGTTGCAGTGAGCTGAGATCACACAGAGAAGTCATCTCCACTCTCCTCATCAGAACCTCTTGTTCACAGCATTTGTGAGCACAAATCAATGATGGTTATTCTTTCCTACTAATTAGGGATATTTTATTACACAGCAATAGCCTCCAGCAAAGGGAACCATCGTACATGATTCCTACAAGTTGACAGGGCTGGAATTATCACTGAAAAACTAAGGTGGCTATACTTGATTCCCAATGTCCAATTTTTCATGAATAGAGAAATTTATCCTTTTTCCCCCCAGCCAGAAACCAAGTTTTGCTCTTACGCCCAGGCTGGAATCAAGTGGCACAATCTCAGCTCACTGCAACCTCTGCCCCCCAGCTTCAAGAAATTCACCTTTTGAACAAGGAGATATTAAGGATACACTATGTGTATGCTACCGGTGGTTGCAGGAGACTCAGAAAAGAGAGAAACAGTCACTGGCCTCGTGCAACTGATATTCTCGGGAGGAGAGAAAGGCAATCAAGAAAGAAACATGCTGTATTTCAGACAGCTGTAAGTCCTCCACAAGAAAAGAAAGCAGGTGAGGAACATAGGAAATGTGTCAACCATAAGGTTCCCGCTAATTCTATAAGTTGGTCAGGGATATCCTCCAAGAATAAGCAGCATCTGAGCAATCACCTGAAGGGAGGAAGGAAGGAAGACTGTGAGTGGTGGCTTACACCTGTAATCCCAGCACTTTGGGAGGCCAAGGAGGGCAGATTGCCTGAGCTCAGGAGTTCACGACCACTCAGAGCAACCTGTTGATACCCAATCTCTACTAAAAACACACAAAAAAATTACCCGGGTGTGGTGGCACGCACCTGTAGTCCCAGCTTCCATGCCCAGCTGATTTCTCTCTCTCCATATATATATATATATACACATATATTGTTTTTGCAGAGATAGGGTCTCACTGTGTCACCCAGTCATCAAGCAATTCTCTTATACTGTTTTGGAAAAGCATGGGAATTACAGGTGTGAAATACCCTGCTGGTCCTGAAAAATGTGATATTTGGGATTCTCTGCCTGGCTTGTTTTACCCAAAATAATGACCTCCAGTTCCTTCCAGGTTGCTGCAAAAGACATGATTTTCACTGTTTTATAACTGAATAGTATTCCTGTATGTATACATACCACATTTTCTTTATTTATTCTTCTGTTGATTGACATGTAGGGTGATTCCATGTCTTTGCTACTGTAAATAATGCTGCAGCAAATATTTGTGTGCATTTTGATCTATTCCTTTGAGTAGGTACCCAGTACTGCAACTGCAGGACTGAGTAGTTGTTATATTTTTTGTTCTTTCAGAAATCTCCATAGTGTTTGCCATAAAATCTGCGCTAATTTACATTCCCAACAACAATGCATAAGATTTCCCCTTTTCTCCACATTCTCACTAACATTTGTTATGTTTTTGTCTTTTTCATAATACCCATTCTGACTGGAGTAAGATATCTCATTGTGGTGGTTGTTGATATTTTTGAGACGGGGTCTCACTCTGTTGCCAGACTGGAGTGCAGTGGTGTGATCGTGGCTTGCTGCAACCTCCACCTCCCGGGTTCAAGCAATTCTCCTGCCTCAGCCTCCCGAGTAGCTGGGACTACAGGCGCGTGCCAACAGGCCTGGCTCATTTTTTGTATTTTTAGTAAAGACAGGGTTTCACCATGTTGGCCAGGATGATCACAGTCTCTTGAGCTCATCATACACCTGCCTCAGCCTCCCAAAGTGTTGGAATTACAGTCATGAGGCAGCGCACCCAACCTCAATGTGGTTTTAATGACCATTTCTCTGACGATTCATGGTGTGGAGAATTTCTTTGAAATACCTTTTGGCCATTTATATGTGCTCTTTTAAAAACTGACTCCTGTCCAGGTGCGGTTGAGCATGCCTGTAACCCCAGAACTTCGGGAGGCTGAGGCCAATGGATCACTTGAGGCAAAGAGGCAGAAATCAACCTGGCCAACAAGGCAAAACCCCATCTTTACTAAAAATACAAAAAATCAGCCACGGGCTGTGACTCGTGCCTGTGGTGCAAGTTACTCAGGAGGTTAAGGCACAGGAATTGCTTGAACCCGGTAGGCACAGGTCGCAGTGAGCCAAGATCATGGCACTGCACTACAGCATGGGTAATAGAGAAAGACCTGTCTCATAAAAACAAATGAATAAATAAATAAGATAAAAAATAAAAAAGTCTCTTTATGTCCTTTGCCGACTTTTTAATGGGATTCTTTGGAGTTTTCTGTTGTAGTTGAGATCTTTGTTTACTCTCGGTATTAGTCTTTTGTCAAAGGAAAAGTTTACAAATAATTTCTTCCGTTCTGCAGTTTGTCTGCTCACTCTGTTGAGAGGATTATTTCTTTGGCTGTGCAGCAGCTTTTTGTTTCAGTAAAGCTTTTGAATTTATATAATTAAAATTTTCAGTTTGGTTTAAATTTGCACTGGTCGATTTTTGGTTTTGTTGCCTGTACTTTTGAAGTCATACTCTTGAACTCTTTACTAGACAATAACCAGAAGAGTTTTCTCTAGGTTTCTTCTCACATTTTTATTATTTCAGTACATATATTTAAGTCTATAATTCATCTTCAATTGATTTTTGTAGAAATAGTGAGAAATAGGAGTCCAGGTTTATTCTTCTGCAAATGACAATTCAATTGTTCCAGCACCAATTATTGAAAAGGGTGTGCTTTCCTCAACGTATATTCTTATCAGCTTTGTCAAAGATCAGTTGGCTATAAATGTGTGGCTTTCTTTCTGGGCTCTCTAGTCTGTTACATCAATCTGTGTGTCTATCTGTATACTACTACCATGCTGTATTGGTGATGATGGCTTTGTAATATAATTTGAAGTCAAGAAATGTGATGCTCCCAGCTTTGTTTATTTGCTTCAGAAAGGCTGAGTCAACAGCTGCAGAGATGAAGCTGCCCCTCCTCGCAGGGCTCCTTCCCGGAAAAAGATCATGGCTCCCACTGACCATATAACCATGGCTGGAACTCCTGAAATTCCCAAAGGGAGGCCCTACCCAGTGAGGGGGGATGAATGAAGGTCCTACTTAAGGAATCTGTCTGGCCACAATCAGGCACAGCAGCTGTGCTGCCTTGTGGGGGACCAGACCACCTGGATTCCCTGGAGCCTGCAGGCTAGAATGTCTGAGTCCATGGAAACACAGAAATGGAGGCCGCCCTCACCTCCCCAGAAAACTGTAGTCTCAGGCAGTCTCCAGCCGATTGCCACTGGTTGGCTGCTATTCCAAGCCAGTGGGTCTTAACTTGAGAGGTGCTGTGGAAGTGGGGCCCACGGAATGAGGCTGCTTGGCTCCCTGGATTCAGCCCCTTTTCTAAGGGAATGTACAGATGGAACTCCCGCCTTGCCCAGCTTTCCAAGTATATAAAACTCCTGAGTCTCTGTGAGTGTCTGAGCGAGTGCTCTGGCAACATTCGACACGGCTCTGTGTATCTGACCCAAGACCCTTATGGCATGAGCTAATGGGAGGATCTTCTGATCCATGCGTGGCAAAGATGCATGGGAGAAACATGGTTTGTGGGTAGGGGTTGTGCATTCACTACTGCTTCTCTTGGCTGTAGGTGAAGGTTTCTTTGGCTCTGTGCTGATACTGGGTGCACCATCACCCACCCCCTTTGTTTCTTCTCCTGGGTCAAGTCATTTGCCTAATCAGTCCCAATGTAGGAACCTGGATACTTCAGTTCAAGGTGCTGAATTCACCGTGCTTTTCATTCAGGGGAAGACAGCTGCTTCTCATTGGGCATCTTGGCCTGCCCACTTCACGTCACTTTCTGTAAAATCCACACCACTCCAGGAATATCCATTACTTAACTTCGCCTGAAATAAACAGAAGGCTCATTACACTTATCATGGGCTCACTTACTTCGCCTATAATGAAGGTGCCATGGAAATGCTAGTGGATGACGTGGTCCATTTTCTTAGGGATGAGATAGAAAAATGGTGTATGGCTTTTTAATTTAATTAAAATTTTTAGTTTGGTTTAAATTTACATTGGTCTCTTTTTGGTTTTGTTGCCTGTACTTTTGAAGTCTTACTCGTGAACTCTTTACTGGACAATGACCAGAAGAGTTTTCCCTAAGTTTCTTCTGATATTTTGACCATTTCAGTACATACATTTCAGTCTATAATTCACTTTAAATTGATTTTTGTAAACATGGTAAGAAATAGGAGTTCAGATTTATTCTTCCGCATATGACAATGCAACTGTCCCAGTACCAATTATTGAAAAGGGTGTGCTTTCCCTAGTGTATATTCTTGTCAGCTTTGTCAAAGATCAGTTGCCTATGAATGTGTGGCTTTCATTTTGGATTCTCTCGTCTGTTACATCAATCTGTGTGTCCACATTTATACCTGTACCATGCTGTATTGGTGACTATGGCTGTGTAATATATTTTAGAGTTAGGAAATGTGATGCTCCCAGCTTTGTTCATTTGCTTCAGCTGAAAAGGTTGAGTCCACAATTACAAAGATGGCAGCCGCCCATCCCCGGAGGACCTCCAACCCAGAAAGAGATCAGGCTTCCCACCAACCCTATAACCCTGGCTGGAGTTCCTGAAATTCCAACAGGGAGGACCTTCCCAGTGAGGAGGGATGAATCAAGGTCAAATTTAAAGAAACAGTCTGGCCACTATCAGGCACAGCAGCAGTGCTGCCTTGTGGGGGACCCCTCCTGCTCCAGACCAGCTGCCCTCCCTGGAGCCCGAAGGCTAGATTGTCTGAGTCTACGGAAACAGAGACGGTGGCCGCCCCAACCACCCAGAACTCGGTAGTCTCAGGCACTTGGCTTGCTATCTTGCCACTGCTTGGCTGGTATTCCAAGCCCGTGGGACTTGAGAAGTGCTGTGATGATGGGGACCACAGGATGAGGCTGTCTGGCTCCCTGTGATATGGCTGTGATGAGTGGAGGAACACCAGGGCTCATGTCTCACACAGAATTGGAGAAAATGACACAAACACATGTACAGTGGTTTTATGGCGTGCAGTTTAATAGGCAAGAACGAAGGAAGAGCTCCCCATACTGAGACAGAGGGAGGGGGGCTCCAAAGCCAAAAGAGGAAACCCGGAGTGCTGTGGATACCAATGAGTTATATGAAGAAACTGGAGGGGGTGGTGTCTGATTTGCATAGGGTTCAGGCGATTGGTTCGACCAGGCATGTCATTTATGTGGCCCACGGAAAAACTGGCCCTCCCACCTAGCCTTTGAATATGCACGTGCCGGACACCCTGATTTCCTACACTCATGGGGATATATGGGGGTGGCCATATCGCCAGGCACAGGTGGGGACAAGGGCCAGAAGAGGGCGGGAATCGCTATGTTTGGGTGGACCCAGTTTCTAATGGCCGGCATCTGCAGATCAAGGTTACCGGAGAACTCTAAAAGCCGGGGCTTTCCTGCTAGACAAGACTCATTTCTGGAGCTGCTTTAAGAAGAAACAAAACTTCCCAAGGACCCCTTTTCCTCCCTGTCTGCCCAAAATAATTTCTTAACAACTCGTATAACACCTGAATTCAGCCCCCTTACTGGGGGAATGTACCAACGGAACTCCCACCTTTCCTGGTTTCTCAAGGCTAGATTGTGTAAACCTCCTGGGTCTCGGTCTGTGTCTGAGCAGCTGCTCTGCCAACACTCCACACAGCCCTGTGTACTAGGCCCAAGGCCGCCGTGACTCAGCCCATGGGAGGATCTCCTGATTTCTTGGTTGCAAAGATCCAAGGGAGAAAAATGGTTTCTGGGGCGGGGTCACACACTCATGGCTTCTCTTGGCTGTGCAAGAAGGTTCCTTTGGCTCTGTTCCAATATAGCGTGGTTCATCACCCACCCCTGTTTTCTTTGTTCTCCTGGGTCAAGTTGTTTGCCTAGTCAGTCCCAATGTGAGAACCTGAATATTTCAGTTCACGTGCTTATCGTGAAATTCACTGAGACTTTAATTCAGTGGAAGGCAGCCTCTTCTAATTGGCCATCTTGGCCCGCCCCCTCCACGTCACCTCCCATAAAATGGCCACGCTCTCCAGGGACGATACCATTATATATCTTTACGTGAAACCGACAGAACACTCATTACACTTTTTGTGAGCTCATTTACTTCACTTATAATGAACATGGCCATGGAAATGCTAGTGGAGAAAGTGGTCGATTTTCTGATGGATGTGATAAAAAAATGGTTTGCCGACCAATTAATGACATATGTCTCAAAACTAGTAACGAGACCCTTAATCGCTGGGTTGAAGTTTCTAATCAAGAAGATGCTCATCTATGTATTCAACAAAGCAGCTTCCCTTGCTTCTGAAATGCTTCCAAACAACATCTCATATTTCCTGAAGAAGATAATGCCTGGACAAGCAGCACAAGTCATTCAGGTTTACTTTCAGCTCATAAATCCAGCAGGATATTCGCACAATTGTTGGGAAACCTTATCAGTTCATGAGTCGTGCATGTTTCCTTTAATTTCAGGAGGAAGAGGGTAATCTGGAAGAGTTTCCTGACCTACTCTGCTGCTGTGATTAAACAACCACCAGGAAATTTTGATGACACTGTTCTCCTGAGCTCCTCCCTTTCCTCGGGGAAGAAAAGCATTGAAACTACAAAAATAAAGTGTTATTTGGCTGGAGTGAGGTCTCATGTCTGCTTATGCGGTGGCTCGCTGCTCAGAACAGGGTGAGTCTCTGAGTTGTACGCTGAGGAGGGGAGGCTGTCAATCTAGAAAAAACCCATTGCATGGGACACCTCCATGGGGTCTGGGGGGCTGAGGATGAGGAGCTGGACTGGATCTAGGGAAGGAGGAGGTTTCAGAGGGTGAAATTCTGGCAGTAAATCCTGGGGGTGTTTGAAAACTTCCTCCCTCAGAAGGAGAAGACTCAGGGAGGAATAAGGACAAACCATGGGTCCCTTGAGGGGCATTTACTAACTTAAGAGGACTTTATCGGGAAGCAGAGTGACAATGGCCTCCTTGAGGACTGAGGCCCCTGGATAAATGAGGCCCAGATCCAGATCCAGTCCATGGGAGATGAGACCTTCAAGGGACATATTTTTGTTGGGACAGAGGAAAAGTGCAGCTCTGCAGCTGCAGAGGAAGCCTTGGCAGTGTGAAAGCGACCTTGGAGGGGGCCCTGTGCGTTCTGAATGCTTCTGAGGTCCATCCCCTGTCCCCGCCTCTTTTTCTGGATTTTTTGGGCTCCATGGTCTCCGCCATCTTCTGAGCGCTCCACGCTGCCACCTTCAGTTTTCTCTTCTGGGCTCCAAATACTCCAAAATCTTTCATATCTGTGCCCCTACCCCTGTTTTTAGCATGTGTTGGGACTCCAGGTCCCTGAAGGTTTCTGGCCTGAAATCCACCTCCCCAGCGGTGTGGATTCTGCTCTAGAGACCCCGCACTTGGCAAGGTTCCCAGGCCCCTGGGGGACAACCGAGTGGTATGTGCACTTCAGGGCTCCACACTCGGCAAGGTCTTTCAAGCCCTTGGGGTTCCCTCCTCAGTTTTCTTCACATGTCTGGGATGTAGTCACTCTATAAATGCCGGGATGTGATCCCCACCCCAGTGATTTTTTTTAGTTCCATGAGTGTTGCTATCTGAATAGTCATCCTGAGAGTGATGGGACCTTTTGAATTTGCAGCAAGTTTTAGATTAGTGTGAGTGGCCTGAGATCGCAAAACTGGGGCTAGCATTGGATGTGAGGTTAGGCTGGTGGAAAAATTTGCCCAGAACCTGAGGAGTGTGGGCTCACTGCAGGTGGTTAGGATCAGCACAGAATTGCAAGGATGTATAGCTTTGGGGTAAAGAATAACATGGTTCAGAAGTACATGTATTAGTCTTTTCATGCATTACTATAAAGAATTACCTGAGACTGGGTAATTAATTATAAAAACTCAGGTTTAATTGGCTCATGGTTCCACAGGCTGTACAAAAAGGATGATGCTGGCCATCAGCTCAACTTCTGGGGAGGCGTCAGAAAACTTAGAGTCATGGCAAAAAGCACAAGGGAATCAGGCTCATCCTCCATGGCCAGAGCTGGAGCTAGTGGTAGGAGAGGTGCTGCACACTTTTGAACAATCAGATCTTTTTAGAACTCTATCACCAGACAGCACCTAGAGGATGGTGCTAAATTATTCATGAAATATCCACCCATATGATCCACTCAATTCTCACCGGCCCAACCAGGACCACCTCCACCATTGGGGATTACAATTACACATGAGATGTGGGTGGGGACACAGATCCAAACTCGATCAGTGGGCATCTTGGACTGGGTCTACTATAGAAGAAGAACCAGGAGCTGACTATCATCCTTAAGACTGCCCATGATGGCCAGGCAGGGTGGCTCATGCCTGTAATCCCAGCACTTTGGGAAGCCAAGGTGGGTGAATCCCCTGAGGTCAGGAGTTTGAGACCAGCCTCGCCAACATGGTGAAACCCTGCCTCTACTAAAAACACAAAAAATTAGATGGGTGTTGTGCCAGACGCCTGTAATCACAGCTACTCCAGAGGCTGAGGCATGAGAATTGCTTGAACCTGGGAGGCGGAGGTGGCGGTGAGCCCCAGTCGCACTGCTACACTCCAGCATGGGCAACAATACCAAAACATCGTCTCAAAAAAAAAAAAAAAAAAAAAAAAGGCTGCCCATGACCACTGCCCCAGTGAGAGGGACACCAGCATGGCTAAGATCAAGTGCTGGACATTCTTCATGGGTCAGACATTAAAGCAGGCCACACTGTTACAGAGATGGGCTCCATTCATAGCAACAAAGTGGTGAGAAGATGTGGGAATGGCAGAGGCCAGCACTTTGCCATCAATGCAAGGTGGGCATAAGGAGCTGGCACCAGTGCCAGAGTGCATCAGGGGAGGACTGCTTTGCAATATCTAGCACTTACCTCTTAGAGTATGTTTCATTAGGGACAACAGATATAAATGGCAGACAAGTGAGTCCCTTCAGTAACAGGAAATAGAAATCATCAAGAGGAACAGAAACAGATGTCAGCAGCCCTCATATAAAGTCATCATCCTTCATCCAGTTAAAACCTGAGACAGTTCTCACATAAGAAGGTCTAATTCAAAAAGAGACTGGGTTCTCATGAGGCAGGTTCATGCAAAACCAAGGGAAGTATACAACTTTGGGATTCTCCAGCTTCCCTTGGAAAAGACCTACAATCATTTGCTTAGGTAACTGAGCACTGAACAAAGGTGAGTATTGTTATCTTTCAGAAGCTGTTGGCCATGAAGGTCTTGCTGGCATAAAACCCATGGTTGGAAACATCACCATGACCCCTGTTAGAGTAATGGCCTAAGGGCAAGGGTCAGGAAATTGATGTATTCCTTGCCAACTTCTGCGAGACGAGTGTTGGTCCACTCATCTCTTTCACGGAATTCACCAGTCTGGTATCTTCAAAATCCAGAAGGATGATGGCAGATGGCAGGAAACTAATGCAAACACCATCAGTTGTACCTCCACTGTAGCAGCAGTAATGGATGTTATCTCTTCATTGTAATATCCAGGGAGGGAGAAGATGACATTATTCTCAATATTCTAAACACCCTGTGTGTACAGCCTCTGTGATATTTTTTGTAATATCCGTGTGGGAGAGAATTATATTACTCCTAATATCTCAGGGGTTGTGCCCCCTCTGTGACAATGTTCCTAACACCCAGGAGGGGATAGGATGATATCACTTTTAGCATCACAGGGGGTGTACACCCCACTGTAATATTGTTCATAATATCCGGGGGGGAGAGAATGATATTACTCCCAATATCGCAAAGACTGTACACCAACCTGTGATATTATTTGTAATATCCATAAGAGGAAGAATAATATTACTCCCAATGTCACAGGAAGTGTACACCCTTCTGTGATATTGTTCAAAAGATCCAGTTAGGGAGGGGATGATATTACTCTCAATATCTTAAACACCCTGTAGGTAAACCCTCTGTGATATTCCTCATAATATCCAGAGGGAGAGGATGATATTACTCCCAATATTGCATGAGGTCTACACCCCACCTGTGATATTGTTCCTAATATCCAGGATGGGAGAGGATGATATTACTCCCAATGTCGCAGGGGATGTACACCTTCCCTGTAATATTGTTCATAATATCTAGAAAAGGAGAGGATAATATTACTTTCAACATCGCAGGGGGTGTACACCTTCCTTGTTATATTGTTGCTAATATCCAGGGAAAAAGAAGATGACATTACCACCACTATTGCAGAAGGTGTACACCCCCCCTTGATATAGTTCCTAATATCCAGAAAAGGAGAGGAGATATTACTCCAAATATTGCAAGAGGTGTACATTCCCCTGTAATATTTTTCCTAACATTCAGGAAGAAAGAGAGTGATATTGCCCTTAATATTGAAGGGAGTGTGCCCCCCCCGTGATATTGTTTCTAATATCCAAGAAATGAAAGGATGATATTACTCCCAATATCACAGGGGCTGTACAGCCCCCTCCCGTGATATTGTTCCCAACATCGGGGGGGGGTGAAATAGTATTATTCCCAGTATCACAATAGGTGTACACACCTGTCGTGATATTGTTCCTAATACCCATGGGGGAAAGGACGATATTATTCTTAATATCTCAGAGGGATGTACACCCTCCCTGTGATATTGTTCCTAATATCCAGGGTGGGAGAGGATGATATTACCCCCAAAATCTCAAAGGGTGTACACCCCTCTTGTGATATTGTTCCTAATATCCAGGGTGGAGAGGATAATATTATTCCCAATATCCAGGAAAGGAAACGATGATGTTACTGTGAATATTCCAGGGGGTGTCCTCCCCTCTGTGATATTGTTCCTAATATCCAGGTTGGGGAGATTATGATATTTCTCCAAATATCACAAGGGGTGTACACCAACCCTGTGTTATTGTTCCTAATATCGATGGGGGGAGAGGACGATATTACTCCCAATATCACAGGGGGTGTACACCACCTTTATGATATTGTTCCTAATATCCATGAAGAAAGAGGATGATATTACTTTCAATATCGCAGGGGATGTACACTCCCCCTGTGATATTGTTAGTAATACCTAGGAGAAGAAAGTGTGATATTACTCCCAATATCGCAGGGGATGTACACGCTTCCTGTGATATTGTTCCTAATATTTAGGGGGAAAGGGGATGATATTACTCCCAATATCGAATGGTGTGTACACCCCCCCGTGATTCTTTTTTTTTTTTTTTTTTTTTTTGAGATGGAGTCTTGCTCTGCCGCCCAGACTGGAGTGCAATGGCGCAATCTCGGCTCACTGCAACATTTGCCTCCCAGGTTCGCACGATTCTCCTGCCTCAGCCTTCGGAGTAGCTGGGATTATAGGCAGCTGTCACCATACCAGGCTAATTTTTGTATTTTTAGTAGAGTTGGGGTTTCACCATGTTGGTCAGGCTGGTCTTGAATTCCTGACCTCAAATAATCCACCCACCTTGGCCTCCCAAAGTCCTGGGATTACAGGCATAACTTTCCCTGTGATATTCTTCCTAATATTCAGGAAGAAAGAGGATGATATTGCTCCCAATATCGCAGAGAGTGTGCACTCCTCCTGTGATATGGTTCTTAATATTCAGAGGAGGAGAGGATGATATTACTTTCTATATTGCAGAAGGTGTACACCTCCCTCGTGATGTCTTTCCTAATATCCAGTGGGGGAGAGGTTATTAGTCTCAAAATCACAGAAGGTGTAAACCCCCATTTGATATTGTTCCTAATATTCAGGGGTGGGGAGAGAAAGGTATTACTCCTAGTATTTCAGGGCATGAACACCCCCACCGTGATATCATTCCTAATATCCAGAAGGGGAGGCAATGATATTTCTCCTAATATCACAAAGGGTGTACACCCCTTCTGTGATATTGTAAATATTCTGTGTGTACACCCCCCTGTGTTATAGTCTGTAATATCCGGGTGGGGGAGAGGGTGATATTTCTCCCCATATTGTAGGGGATGTACACCCTTCTGTGATATGGTTCGTTATATCCAGGGAAGAAAAAGGTAATATTGCTGCCCATATTGTGGAGAGTGTACACCCCCATGTAATATGGTTCGTAATATCCAGGAGTGGAGAGGGTGATACTGCTCCTTACATCGAGGAAGGTGTACACCTTATTGTTATATGATTCGCAATATCCAGGGGAGGAGAGAGTGATATTGCTCCCCATATCGCAGGGGGTGTAAACCCTCCGTGATATGATTGGTAATATCCAGGAAAGGAAAGGGTGATATTTCTCCCCATATCGCGGGGGACGTACATCCTCCTGTGATATGGTTCGTAATATCCAGGAGGAAAGAGGAAAATATTGCTCTTCATAACCCGAGGGGTGTACAACCCCTGTGATATGGTTCGTAATACCCAGAAGTGTACACCCCTCTGTGATATGGTTTGTAATATCCAGGGGGTTAGAGGGTGATATTGCTCCCCATATCGCAGTGGGGGTACACCCCCCTGGATTGGTTCATAATATTCATGGGGGGAGAAATTTACATTTATCCTCATATCAGGGGGGGTGTACACCCCCCGTGATATGGTTCGTAATATCCAGGGGAAGAAAGGGTGATATTGCTCCTTATATCGCGGAAGGATCACCCTCCCCTGTGATATGGTTCATAATACCCAGACGGGAAGAGGGTGATATTGTTCTTCATAAAGCGAAGGGTGTACAGCCCCCTGTGATATGGTTCATAATATGCAAAAGGGGAGAGGGTGATATTGCTCCCCATATCACGGAGGGTGTACTCCCTTCTTTGATATGGTTCGTAATATCCAGGGGTGTAGATGGTGATATAGCTCGCCCTATTGGGGAGGGTGTTCACCCCTCTGTGATATTGTTCGTAATGTCCAGGGAAAGAGAGGATGATATTACTCCCAATATCGCAGAAGGTTTACACCACTCTGTGATATTGTTCATAATATCCAGGGAAGGAGAAGACGATATTACTCCCAATATGGCAGGGGGTGTAGAACTCCTGTGATATTGTTTGTAATATCCAGGCAAGGAGAGGATATTACTCTCAATATCGCAGAAGGTTTACACCCCTATGTGATACTGTTCATGATATCCAGGGAAAAAGAGGATATTACTCCCTATATCACAAAGGGTGTACACCCCTTTGTGATATTTTTTGTAATATCCAGGGGAGAGAGGATAATATTACTCTCAATATCAGAAGGGGTGAAAACCCTCCTGTGTCATTGTTCGTAATATTTAGGGAAGGAGAGAGTGATATTACTCCAAATATCACAGTGGGTGTACACCCCCCTATGATATTGTTCCTAATTTCCAGAAGGGGAGATATGATATTATTGCCAATATCGCAGAAGGTGTACACCTTACTCTGACATTGTTTGTAATATCCAGATGGGGAAATGATGATATTACTCCTAATATCACAGGGGGTGTACACCCCCTTGTTTTATTGTTTGTAATATTCAGGGGAAGAGACGATTATATTACTCCCAATATCGCAGGGTGTGTACAACACTCTATGATATTGTTCATAATATCCAGGGGAGGAGAGGAAGTGTACACCCCCCCGTGATATTGTTCGTAATATCCAGAGGTAGAGAGGATGATATTACTCCCAATATTGCAGGTGGTGTACACCTTTCTGTGATATTGTCATGATATTAAGAAGGGGAGAGGATGATATTACTAACAATATCACAAAAACTGTACACTCCCTGTGATATTGTTCATAATATCCAGAAGAAGGGAGGATGATATTATTCTGAATCTCGCAGAAGATATACACCACCCTGTGATATGGTTCATAATATCCTAGGGGAAAGAGGATGACATAACTGTCAATATCGCAGGGGGTGTACAATTCCCTGTGATATTGTTCACAATATTCAGAGGGAAAAAGGATAATATTACTTTCAATATCGCAGGCGGTGTACACATTACTGTGTTATTGTTTATAATATCCGGAATGAGAGAAAATTTTCTCCCAATATCACAGGAGGTGTACACTCCCCTGTGATATTGTTTGTAATATCCAGGGAGGGGAGAGGATACTATTACTCCCAACATCTCAGGGAGTGTAGGCCCCCCCTTTGATATTGTTCCTAATATTCGGAAGTGGAGAAGATGATATTACTTCCAAAATCGCAGGGGGTGTACACTCCCTCTGTAATATTGTTTCTAATATTCATGAGTGGAAAGAAAGATATTACTCCCAGTATTGCAGGGGACATACACCACACTGTGATCTTGTTCACAATATTCGGGGGGGAGAGGATGATATTACTCCCAATATCAAAGTAGGTGTACACCCCCTTCTGATATTGATCGTAATATCCAGAATTAAAGATGATAACGTTACTCCCAATATTGCAGGGGGTGTACATTTTTGAATACTGTTCATAATATTAAGAGGGGGAGGGGATGATATCTGTCCCAATATCGCAAAGTGTGTACACCTCCTGTGACATTGTCCCAAATATCCAGAGGAAAAAAGGATGTTATTACTCTTAATATCTCAGAGAGTGTACACCTCCCTGTGATATTGTTTGTAACATCCAGAAGAAAGAGGCTGATATTACTCTTAATATCGCAGGGGGTGTACACCCCCGCCCCGGGATATTATTCGTAATATCCAGGGGGAAGTGGAATGTTCAGAATGGGAGAGGATGATATTACTTGCAATATCATAGTGGGTGTACACCCCACTGTGATATTGTTTGTAATATCCGGGAAAGGAGAAAATGACATTCCTCCCCATATGGCAGGGGCTGTACACCACCTATCATATTGTTCAAAATATCCAGAAGGGGAGAGGATATGTCTCCAAGTATCACAGGGGGTGTACACCCCGCTGTAATATTCTTCCTAATATCCAGGGTGTGAGAGGATAATAGTACTCCCAATATCCCAGGGCATGTACACCCGCCTTGTGATGTTGTTCCTAAAATTCATGGGGAGAAAGAATATTACTCCCAATATCACAGGGGGTGTACATACACTCTGTAATATTGTTGCCAATATGCAGCAGGAGAGAGGATGATATTACTCCCAATATCACAGGGGCTGTACACCCCGCTGGGATATTGTTTCTAATATCAAGGGGGAAAAAGGATGATATTACTCCCAATGTCGCAGGGTGTGTACTTCCTCTTTGTGACATTGTTCCTAATATCCAGGAGAGAAGAGGGTGACATTCCTTCCAAAACTGAAAGGGGTGTACACACCCTTTGAGATATTGTCTTTAATATCCAGAACGAAACAGGATGATATAACTCCTAATACTGCAGGGGGGTACACCCTCTCTGTGATATTGTTTCTAATATCCAGGAGGGGAAAGAAAAATATTAATCCCAATATCACAGGGGGTGTACATTCCCCCTTTAATATTGTTCCTAATATCCAGGAAGACACAGGATGATACTATTTCCAGCAGCACAGGGCATGTACACCCCTTTGTGATATTGTTCCTAATATCCAGGAAAAGAGAGGATGATATTACTGTCAATATTGCAGGGCGTATACACTGGTTCTGTGATATTGTTTCTAATATCCGGGGGTGGAGAAAATGATATTACTCCCAATATTCCAGCGGGTGTACACCCGTTCTATGATATTGTTCCTAATATCTGGGGGAGAGAGGATGATATTATTGTCAATATCACAGGGGATGTACAGATTCCCTGTGATATTGTTTCTAATATTCACAGGGGGAGAAGGGTATAATACTCCCGATATCGCAGGGGGTGTACACTCCCCCTGTGAAGTTGTTCCTAATATCCAGGGATTGAGAGAATGATATTACTCCCAATATCACAGGCGGTGTAAACCCCCTGTGTGATATTGTTCCTAACATCCAGAGGAAAAGATGATGATATTATTTTCAATATCACAGGGGGTGTACGCATCCCTGTGATATTGTTTCTAATATCCAGGGGAGGAGAGGATGATATTATTGTTAATATCGCAGGGGGTGTACCCCACCCTGTGATGTTGTTCCTAATATCCGGGGTGGAAGAGGATAATATTGCTCCCAATATCGCAAAGGGTGTACAACCTTCCTGAGATATTGGTCCTAATATCCAGGGAGGGAGAGGATGATATTACTTTCAATATCACAGGGAGTTTACACAACCCCTGCGATATTGTTCCTAATATCCAGCGGAAGAAGAGTTAGGATAATACTATTTTCAAAATTGCTGGGTCTGTACCCCCTCCCCGTGATATTGTTTCTAATATCCAGGAGGGGAGAAAGTAATATGACTCCCAATATCTTAGAAGATGTACACCCTCCCCATAATATTATTTCTTACATCCAGGGGGTAGAGGATGATTTTGCTTTCAATATCACAGAGGGAGTAAACCTTTCCGGTGATATTGTTTTTAATATTTAAAAAGAGAGAAGATAAAATTACTCCCAATACAAAGGGGATGTATTGTGTACTCCCCCCTCTGATATTCTTTTTTAATATCCAGATGGAGAGAGGATGATATTACTTTCAATATTGCATGGGATGTATAAATCCCCTGTGTTATTGTTCTGAATATACAGGTGGGGAGAGTATGATATTACTCCAAATATCGCAGGGGGTTCTTTCCCCCTGTGATATTGTTCCTAACATTCAGGGAGGGAGAGGATGATATTACTCTTAATATTGCAGGGGGTGTACCCACGCCTATGATATTGTTCCTAATATCCAGAGGGGGAGAGGATGATCTAACTCAGAATATGACAAGGGGTGTACACACAGCCTGTGATATGGTTCCTAATATACAGGGGAGAAGGGGATAATATTTCTCCCAATATCGCAGGGGGTGTACAACCCCCTGTGATACTGTTCCTAATATACAGAAGGGGACAGCATGATATTGTTCCTAATATCGCAGGAGGTGTACAACGCCCTGTGATATTGTTCCTAATATCCAGGGCGGGAGAGGATGATATTACCCTCAATATCGCAGGGGGTGTGCACTTTCCCTGTTATATTGTTCCTATGATCCGGGTGGGGGGAAATGACATTAGTCCCAATATCGCAGGGTGTGTGCACCGCTCCCCCGTGATATTGTTCCTAATATCAAGGGGGAGAGAGGAGGATATTACTCCCAATATCGCAAGGGATGTACATCCTCCATGCGATATTGTTCGTAATATTCAGGAGGAGAGAGGATGATATTACTCTTAATATCGCAGAAAGTGGACACCCACCCTGTGATATTCTTCATAATATCCAGGGAAGGAAACGATTATATGACTTTCAATATCGCTGGGAGTGTACATCCCTTTTGGGATATTGTTTCTAATATCCAGGAAGGGAGAGGATTATATTACTCTCAGTATTGCAGGCAGTGTACACCTTTTTTGTGATATTGTTCCTAATATTCAGAAAGGGAAAGGATGATATTACTCCCAATATTGCAGGTGGTGTATATCCCCCTCTGATATTGTTCCTTATATCAAGGAAGAGAAAGAATAATATTACTCCCAATATCAAAGACAGTGTAGACCCCTCCTGTGATATTGTATTTAATATCCATGGGGAAAGAGGATGATGTTACTCCCAATATCGCAGGGGGTTTACACCCACACTGTGATATTATTCCTAAAATCCAGTGGAGGAGAAAATAATATTGCTCCCAATATTGCAGGGTGTATACAGGCCCTCCCCCGTTATATTGCTCCTAATATCCAGCGGTGGAGAGGATATTACTTTCAATTTGTGTAGGGAGTGTATACCCCCCTGTGATATTTTTCTAATATCAAGGATGGGAAAGGATGACATTACTCCCAATATCGCAGGAGGTGTACACGCCCTGTGATATTGTTCCTAATATCTAGGGAAGGAGAGGATGATATTACTTTCAATATTGCAGGAGCTGTACACCCTCTGTGGTATTGTTCTTAATATTTAGGTTGGGAGAAAATGATATGAGTCCAAATATCGCAGAAGGCATACACACTTCCAATAACATTGTTCTTAATATCCGGGGGAGAGGGTGATATTACTCCCAAAATCTCTGGGGTGTGTACACCCCCTTCTGATATTTTTCCTAATATCCAGGGAAGGAAACGATGATATTACTATAAATATTCCAAGGAGTGTACACCTTCCTAATATCCTAATATTGTTCCTAATATCCAGGGGTGGGAGAGGATTATA
The DNA here is from genome assembly GCF_000001405.40 of Homo sapiens. Taxonomy (NCBI): domain Eukaryota; kingdom Metazoa; phylum Chordata; class Mammalia; order Primates; family Hominidae; genus Homo; species Homo sapiens. Next base: position 222,725 of record NT_187620.1, read on the forward strand.
TTACTCCCGATATCGCAGTGGGTGTACACCCCTCCTGTGATATTGTTTCTAATATCCAAGCTAGGAGAAAATGATATCACTCTCAATACCACAGGGGGTGTACACCTTCCGCATCATATTGTTCCTAATATTCAGAGGGAAAGAAGATGAAGTTACTTTCAATATCGGAGGGGTTGTACACAACCCCTGTGATATTGCTGCTAGTATCCAGGAAGAAAGGGGATTATGTTACTCCCCTTATAGCAGGGGGTATACACCTCCCCTGTAATATTGTTCCTAATATCAAGGCTGGGATATACGTGGGGGGAAGGATGATATTACTCCCAATATCGCAGGGGTTATACAACCTTCTGTGATATTGCTCCTAGTAACCAGGGCAGAAGAAGATGATATTACTCCTAATATCGCAGGAGGTGTACACTCCCCCATTATGTTGTTCCCAATATGCAGAAAAGGAGAGGATGACATTATTGCCAGTATCGCAGGGTGTGTACACCACCCCTGTAATATTGTTCCAAATATTTAGGGGGAGAGAGGATGATATTACTCCCAACATCGCAGGGGGTGTACACACATCCCCTGTAATATAGTTCTTAAAATCTAGGGGAAAAGGGGATCTTATTTCTCTAAATATTGCAGAGGGTGTACACTCCCCGGTGATATTGTTCCTAATAGCCGGGAGGGAGATAATTAAATTACTTTCAATATCTCAGAGAGTGTACATCGCCCTTGCGATATTGTTCCTAATATCCAGAGCAAAAGAGAATGATATTACTCCCAATATCTTAGGAGTGTACATTTAACCTGTAATATTGTTCCTAATATCCAGGGGGAAGAGAATAGTATTACTGCCAATATCGTAGGGGTTGTACACCTTTTCTGTGATATTGTTGCAAATATTTAGTAGAGGGAAAGAATATTACTCGCAATATCACAGGGAATGTATACTTCCCCTGTGATATTGTTCTGATATCCAGAAAAAGAGAGGGTAATATTACTCCCAATATTGCAGGGGGTGTACACCCCCCTTGTGATATTGATCCTAATATAAAGGAAGGAAGAGGATATTACTCCTCATATAGAAGGGGTTGTCCACCCCCCTTGTGATATTATTCCTAATATTCAGGGAAGCAGAGGATGATATTATTTTCAATATCACAGAGGGTGTGCAGTCCACCTGTGATATTGTTCTTAATATTCGGGGGGAGAGGATGTTATTATGCCTGATATCGCAGTAGAGGTACACCCCTCAAGTGATACTGTTCCTAATAACCAGGGGTGAAGAGGATGATATTACTCCCAATATCGCAGGTGGTGTACACCCCCCCATGATGGTTTCTAATATACAGAGGGGGAGAGGAAAATATTACTCCCAAAATCGCTGGAGGTCTACACCCCCCTTGTGATATTGTTCCTAATATCCAGGAAAGGAAACGATGATATTACTGTGAATATTCCAGGGGGTGTACACCCGCTTTGTAATATTGTTCCTCATATCCAGGGTGTGGAGAGGATTATATTACTCCCAGTATCGCAGGGGGTGCACGACGCCCCTGTGATATTGTTTTTCATATCCAGGAGGGGAGATTATTATCAATATGGCAAGGGGTGAACACCCCCTGTGATATTGTACTTAATAGTTAGGTTGGCAGAAAATGATATTAGTCTCGATATCGCAGGGGGTGTGCACTCCGCCTGGTGATATTGCTTTTAATATCAAGGGGGAGAAAATGGCATTACTCCCAATATCGCAGGGGGTGTACACCGCTCATGTGATATTGTTCCTAATATCCAGGTGGAGAGAACATAATATTACTCCCAATATCGCACAAGGTGTACACCCCTCCTGTGATATGGTTCCTAATATCCATGGGAGGAGATGATGATATTACTCCCAATATCACAGGGGATGTACACCACCCTTGTGATATTGTTCCTAATATCCAGGGAAGAAAACGATGATATTATTGTGAATATTACAGGGAGTGTACACACTCCCTGTGATATTGTTTTTGATATACAGGGTGGGAGAGGATGATATTACTCCCAATATCACATAAGGTGTACACCCCCCGTGATATTGTTCTAAATATTTCGGTGGGGAGAAAATGATATTAGTCTCCATATCACAGGGGGTGTGTGCTCCTCAGGTGATATTGTTTTTAATATCAAGAGGGGGAGGAGATTATATTACTTTCATTATCACAGGGGGTGTACACCCCTCCTGTGATATTGTTCCTTATATCCAGGCGAGGGGAAAATAATATTACTCTCAATATCGCAGGAGGTGTACACACCCCATGTGATATTGTTCCTAATATTAAGGGGGAAAGAAGATAATATTACTTTCAATATCACAGGGTTTGTACTCCTTTCTTGTGATATAGTTTTTAGTATCCAGGGGGAAAGAGCATGATATTACTCCCATTGTAGCAAGGGGTGTACACACCTCCTGTGATATTGTTCCTAATATCCAGAAGTGGTGAGGATGATATTACTCCCAATATCGCAGGGGGTATACACCCCACCTATGATATTATTTCTAATATCCATGGGAAAAGAGTATGATATTACACCCAATGTCGCAGAGGGTGTGTATTTTTCCTGTGATATTGTTTCTAATATTCAGGCGGGGAGAAGATGATATTACTCTCAATATAGCAGAAATTGTACATCCCCGCTGTGATATTCTTCATAATAATCAGGGAAAAAGAGGATGATATTACTACCAATATTGCAGGGGGGTTACACTTCCCCTATGGTAGTGTTCCTAATATCCAGGAAGAAAGAGGATGATATTAATCCCATTATCCAGGAAGTGTACACCCACCCTGTCATGTTGTTCCTAATATCCAGCAGGGAAGAGGATGATATTACACCCCCCCCCCCGTGATATTCTCCTTAATATCCAGGAGGGGAGAGGCTGATATTACTGGATATATAGCAGGGGTGTTCATACCTTCTGTGATATTGTTCCTAATATCCAGAAAAGGAGAGGATGATATTACTTCCAATATCGCAGAAGGTGTACACCTCCCTGTGATATTGATCCTGACATTCAGAAGGGGAGAGGATGATATTACTCAAAATACCGCAGGGCATGTGCATTCCCTTGTGATATTGTTCCTAATACCCAGAAGGGAACAGGATAATATTACTTTCAATATCGCAGGGAGTGCACACCCCCCTTTGGTATGGTTCTTAATATCCAGAAGGAAAGAGGGTGCTATTACTTTCCATATTGCAAGGGGTGTACACCCCACTGTGGTATGGTTCATAATATCCAGGCAGGGAGAGGGTGCTATTACTCCCCACAGTGCGGGGCATGTACACCCTGCTGCGGTACGGTTCCTAATATCCAGGGGGAGAGAGGATGCTATGACTCCCTATATCGCGGGGTGTGTACACCCCTGTGTGGTATGTTTTGTATTCTCCAGGAACGGAGAGGGTGTTGTTACCCCTCATATCGCTGGAAATGTACACTCCCCTGTGGTATGGTTCGTAATATCCAGGGGATTGAGGGTACTGTTACCCCCATACTCCCCATATCGTGGGGGGAGTGCACCTCCCTGTGGTATGGTTCGAAATATCCAGGGTAAGAGAGGGTGCTATTATTCCCCATTTTGCAGGAGGCGTACACCCCCCTATGGTATGGTTCGTAATATCCGGGGTGAGGGGATGCTATCAAAAGAAGAGAGAAAGAGACCCCCCATATTGTTCTATATTATTTTATACTCAGTACCTGTTTTAAGAAGAAACAAGGAAGTGAAACCAAAAGCAGGCAGCCCGGCGCCAGGCACCAGACCCAAAACCAGACCCGAAACCAGGCCTGGGCCTGCCTGACCTTAGCCTGATAGTTAAAATTCAACCCATGACCTAGCAACCAATGTTATCCATAGATTCCAGACATTGTATGGAAGGACATTGTGAAATTTCTTGTTCTGTGCTGTTTCACTCTGATTACCGGTGCCTGCAGCCCCTGTCACATACCCACTAGATTGCTCAATCAATCATGGCCCTTTCATGTAAGATCTTTAGTGTTGTGAGCCCTTAAAAAGGACAGAAATTGTGCACTCAACAAGCTCGGATTTTGAGACGCTAGTCTTTCGATGCTTCCAGCTGATTAAAAGCCACTTCCTTCACTACCTCGGTGTCTGTGGGGTTTTGTCCGCGACTCCTCCTGCTACACTATGACTCCCCATATCAAGGGGGGTGTACACCCCCCTGTGGTTCGTAATATCCAGCAGGGGAAAAGGTGCTATTACTCCCCATATTGCAGGGAGTGTACACCCCCTTGTAGTATGGATCGTAAAATCAAGGGGGGAGGGAAGGTGTAATTATCCCCATATCTCAGGGGGTGTACACCCCTTTGTGGTAAAGTTTGTAATATCCAGGGATATTACAGGGATATTATCCCCAAATTAATACTTTTATAATTTCTTATGCCTGCCTTTACTGCAATCTCTGAACATAAATTGTGAAGATTTCATGGACATTTATCACTTCCCCAATCAATACTTTTATAATTTCCTATGCCTGTCTTTACTTTAATCTCTTAATCTCATCATCTTTGTGAGCTGAGGATGTATGTCGCCTCAGGACCCTGTGATGATTGCATTAACTCCACAAATTGTTTATAAAACATGTGTATTTGAACAATATGAAATCTGGGCACCCTGAAAAAGAACAGGATAAGAGCGATGTTCAGCGAACAAGGGAGATAAGCATAAGGTCTGACTGCCTGTGGGGCTGGGCAGAACAGAGTCACATTTTTCTTATTGCAGAAAATGAGTAGGAGAAATATCACTGGGAAGGGAACGCATTCCTAGGGGAGGCCTATGGACGGCCGCTCTGGGGGTGTATCCCTTATGTGGTTGAAGATAAGGGATGAAATACACCCTGGTCCCCTGCAGTGCCCTCAGGCTTGCTAGGATTAGAAATTCCAGCCTGGCGAATTCTAGTCAGACCAGTTCTCTGCTCTTGAACCCCGTTTCCTGTTAAGATGTTTATCAATGACAATGCGTGCACAGCAGGACATGGAACCTCAATAGTAATTCCATTTTCTCCCTGGCCTTGTGACCTTGCTAGGCCCTTCTGCCCTTGTGATCTTTTATTGCCATTTGAAGCATGTGATCTCTGTGACCCACTCCCTATTCGTATCCCCCTCCCCTTTTGAAGTCCCTAATAAAAACTTGCTGGTTTTGCAGATCAGGTGGTCATCACAGAACCTGCCGATATGTGATGTCACCCCGGAGGCTCAGCTGTAAAATTTCTCTTTCGTACTCTTTCACTTTATTTCTCAGACCAGGTGACACTTAAGGAAAATAGAAAAGAACCTACTTTGAAATATTGGGGGCTAGTTCCCCCAATAGACATTGTTCCTAATATCCAGAAAAAAAGAAGATGATATTACTCCCAATATCACAGGGGTTGTGAACCCCACCTGTGATATGGTTCCTAATATCCAGGAAGGGAGAGAATGATATTACTCTCCATATTGCAGGGGGTGTGCACATCCCTGTGATATTGTTCCTAATATCCAGGGGAGGAGAGGGTGATATTACTCCCAATATTGCAAGGGTTGTAAACTCCACCCTGTAATATTGCTCCTAATATTTAGGATTTAGGGGGGGAGAGGATAATATTACTCCCAATATCGCAGGGGATGTATATGCCCTCTTTGATATTGTTCCTAATATCCAGGGGGGGAGAGGATAATATTACTTTCCATATCACAAAGAGTGTTCACCCCCCTGTGATATTGTTCCTAATATCCAAAAAGGAAGAGGATGATATCAATCCCAATATCACAGGAAGTGTACACCCCCCCCTTTTATATTGTTTCTAATATCCAGGGGAAATGAGGGTGATATTTCTCTCAATATAGCAGAATGGGTACACTCCCCCTGGGATATTATTCCTAATATCCAGGGGAAAAAAAGAGGTTGATATTCTTCCCAGTATAGCAGGGAATGAATACACCCTTTGTGATATTGCTTCTAATATCAAGGGGAAAAGAGGATGATATGACTCCCAATATCACAGGGGATGTAAACCTGTGGCGTTGTTGCTAATATCAAGGAGGGAAGAGTATGATATTACTCCTAATGTCGCCGAAGGTGCACACTTTCCCTGTGATATTGTTCCTAATATCCAAAAGGGAAGAGAATGATATTACCCCCAGTATTGCAGGGTGTACACCACCCCTGTGATATTGCTCCTAATACCCAGGAAAAAAGAGAATGCTATTACCCCCAATATCTAAGGGGACGTATACCTTCCCTGTGATATTGTTTCTAATATCCAAGTGGGGAGAGGATGGTTTTACTCTCAATATTGCAGGGAGTGTACACTCCCCCTGTGATACTGTTTCTAATACTCGGGCTGGGAGAAATAGTATTACTCCCAATATCGCAGTGATATTGTTTCCCTGTGATATTGTTTCTAATATCTAGTGGGGGAGATAATTATATTACTACCCCATACACAGGGGAGGGTGTACATTCCCCTGTGATATTGTTTGTAATATCCAGGGAAGGAGAGGATGTTACTCCCAATATCACAGGGGTTGTACACCCCTTTTTTGATATTGTTCCTAATATCTGGGGGGCAGAGAATTATATTACTGTCAATATCACAGAGTGTGTACACCCCCTCTGTTATATTACTCTTTATATTCAGGGCGGTAGAGGATGATATTACTCCCTATATCACAGGGGGTGTTCACCCCTCCTGTGATATTGTTTATAATATCTAAGGGGAAAGAGGATGATATCACTCTCAATATCAAAGGAAATGTACACCTTTCCTGTGATATTGTTTTTATTATATAGGGGGGCAGAGGATGATATTAAGAACAATACCACAGGGGATGTACACCCACGTATTGATATTGTCCCTAATATGTATGGGGAAAGAGGACAGTGTAACTCCCGATATCGCAGAGTGTGTACACCCCCTTGTGATATTGTTTCTGATATACACGGGGAGAAAAGATAATATTTCTTCCAAAATTGCAGGGGGTGTACAACCCCCTGTGATATTGTTTTTAATATCCAGTGGGGGAGAGAATATTACTCCCAATATTGCAGGGCGTGTACACAACCCCTGTGATATTGTTCCTAATATCCAGAGTAGGGGAGGATGACATTACTTTCAATATCGCAAGGGGTGTACATTCCCCTGTGATATTGCTCCTAATATCCATGAGGGGAGAGGATGATATTATTCCTAATATGGCAGGGGCTGTACACCTTCCCTGTGATATTGTTTCTAACATCCAGTGGGGGAGAAAATGATATTACTCCCTATATCACAGAAGGTGTACACTTTCCCTGTGATATTGTTCCTAATATCCAGAAGGGGAGAGGATAATATTACTCCCAATATCGCAGGAAGCTTACAACTCCCCTGTGATATTGTTTCTAATATCCAGGGAGGTAGGGATGATATTACTCCCAATATCGCAGGGGATGTACACTCCCCCGTGACATTGTTTCTAATAACCAGGGGGTGAGAGGATGATATTACGCTTAATACCGAAGGGGGTGTACACACCCTTGTGATATTGTGCCTAATAGCCAGGGGGAAGAAAATTATATTAATTTTAATATTTATGGGGAAAAAGGATGATATTACTCCCAATATCACAGGGGCTGTACACCGACCTTTTGATATTGTTTTTAATATCCAGAAGAGAAGAGGATAATATTGCTCCCAATATCAGAAAAGGTGTAAACCCCTTCTGTGATATTGGTCCTAATATCCAGGGAGGGAGAGAATAATATTACTACCAATATCACAGAAGGTGCCCACCCCCAAGGTGATATTGCTCCTAATATCCAAAGATAATAGGGTGATGTTACTCCCAATATCACAGGAGGTGTTCACACCCCTTGTGATATTGTTTCTAACGTACAGGGAAGGGAGAGGATGATATTATTCCCAATATCACAGGAGGTGTATACTCCTCTGTGATATTGATTTTAATATTCGGGGGGAAAGGATGATATTACTCCCTATATCGCAGAGGGTGTACACCCTCTGTAATATTGATCCTAATATCCAGGGCGGGATAGGATGATATTACTCCCAATATCGCAGAAAGTCTACACAACCCCCAGTAATATTGTTTTTACTATCCAGGGGGAAGAGGATGACATTACTCCCAATTTCACAGAGTGTGTACACTCACCATTTGATATTGTTTCTAATATCTAGGGGGAGAGAATATATTACTCCCAATATCACAGGAATTGTACACCACCTCTGTGACATTCTTGTGAATATCCGGGGAAAAAGAGAATAATATTACTCCCAATATTGCAGAGCGTGTACACCCCTCCATGATATCGATACTAATATTTTTTTAAAGAGGATGATATTACTCCCATTGTCACAGGATGTGTACACCCCCCTTGTGAAATTGTTCATAATATTCTGGGGGGAGAGCATAATATTACTCCCCATATCGAAAAAGGTGTCCACCCTCCTTATAATATGGTTCCTAATATCCAGGATATTACTTAATCCAGGATACTTGTAATATCCTAAATATACAATTGCTTGAACCTCCACCTCCCAGGTTCAAGCAATTCTTCTGCCTCAGCCTCCCGAGTAGCTGGGACTACAGGTGCACACCACCACACCCAGCTAATTTTTTTTTCTTGTATTTTTAGTAGAGATGGGGTTTTGCCATATTGGCCAGGCTGGTCTCAAACTCCTGACCTTGTGATCTGCCCACCTCAGCCTCCCAAAGTGCTGGGATTATAGGCGTGACCCACCGTGCCAAGCCAGGAAGAGGATGCTCTATAGATTTCTCCAATAAGAGATGGCTTTGCAGGGCCATTCCAAAATATGTCAAAGAAATACATTTGGGGATAAAATACTTTGATTTCCTTTAGGGAATGTTATCTATTATGTGATGCTATACCAGAGTCAGGTTGGAGTCGGTTATCTTATTGCAACAAAGAGTCTGTTCCGTCACTGTTGGGATCTCTATTTTTTCCTCTTATTTCTTGAGACAGGGTCTCACTCTGTCACCCAGTCTGGAGTGCAGTGGTGCGATCTTCATTCACTGAAACCTCTGCCTCCTGTGTTCAGGTGATTCTCGTGCCTCAGCCCCTTAAGTAACTAGGATTACAGGTGTGCGCCACCACACCCAGCTAATTTTTGTATTTTCAGTAGAGATGGTATTTTGCCCTGTTGGCCAGGCTGGTCTTGAACTCCTGGCCTCGTGTCATCTGCCCACCTCGACCTCCCAAAGTGCTGGGACTGCAAATGTGAGCTATTGTGCCCAGCCAGGATCTCTGTTTTAATGTTAGTGCTGGTCACTTTGCATGAACTCCAAAGGGAAGAAATATAATGAGGTGTGTCTGACCCCCTGCCTTCTCATCGTGACCTGAATTAGTTTTTCAGGTTTGCAGGGGATACCCTTGGACAAGAAGGGGCTCTATTCGGTTGGTTGGGGGGATTAGAATTTTACTTTTTGTTTACAATATTTCTCCTGAAAGAGTTAGGGGCTCACAAGGAATTTCCGCGTGAGCAACTTATGAGGAAAGCCATCTGGGAAGATATGTGTCCTTGTGTCACTGGGATATTCTCGTTTACCCCAATGATACGGCAATGACGCAGGGTTGTGAAATTACAGCTATGTGTTTGGGGAAAAAAGAAAGCAGGATTGTGTGACTACGTTTCCAAACTTCACTTGCCCTTAGCCATAGTGAGTTGGGGGCCTGGAGATTCTGTTTTCTTTCACAATGATATAGATACAATTGAATGTATAGAAAGCAAAAAAATAAAAAGGTGAGTAATGAGGAACCTCTGATTCCTGAGTGGCCATGTAGTTACCCATGGCACAGAGCCACAGTTACTGAAGGTAAAGTTTGCTGGGGAATTTAGAAATGAATCCAACTCTTGGAGGAGTCAGTTTACTGGATGCCTAAGAAAATGCAAACAAAATAAGAAAAAAGGGTAATATTCAATCCCATAGTTATTGTTACCTGTCATAGCTAAAGTAAAATTAAAACAGAGTGCTGGCTTCAATCTTGATGCTACACTAAGCTTAGATTTCAGTGAATGTGAGTCTCAGCCACTAGCTCAGAGCCACCTCCCAAAGACCAAATCATGTAGGGACAATAGAAAGTACTTCTGAGAATTGTGGTTACCAAGAACCTAGTAACTGTTGGGGAGGAGCAAAACAAAGTACAGAAACCAGAGGGTACAATCTGAGTGAGACTGCTATCAGCTTCTGGAGGAGCCTTTACTAAAATGAATGATGAGAGTAACTGGATGATGAGAGTAACTAATGGATGATGAGAGTAAGCAATGTCTTTGGTTTTCTTTTTTTTTTTTTTTTTTTTTAGCAGACGTCTCACTCTTGTCGCCCAGGCTGGAGTGTAATGGCATGATCTCGCCTCACTGCAACCTCCACCTCCTGGGTTCAAGCAATTCTCCTGTCTCAGCCTCCCGAGTAGCTGGGACTACAGGCACTCATCACCACACCTGGCTAATTTTTGTATTTTTAGTATTTTCTGGTGAGGGTCCAGGTTTCCGGAAACAACTCAGAGACATATGTTAAGATGTTATCTTTAGTTTTCACAGGGAACCAAATATGTTACGACTCCAATTTCCTTGGCTATTGTTTTAAGTTACCATTACCTTCTCGTTGATCAAGTTGCTCATTTACTTCTCAAGCCTAGCTAGATGCCTGGAATTTCCCTTGAAGGAAGTCAAGATTTTCCTTTATCTCCATACTGGCTGATGGTGATCGAGTAAGCCCCTAAGAGGGGTCCCTGCTCCATCTCGAGATGCTGCTAGATTCTACAGTGCCTAATAAACAGCTCTCGCCTGGCCGACAAAGAGCTGCTTGCTCTCTGGATAGCAATTCCAAAGTGAACAGACAACATCCTGTTTGGAAGACTGCCACTCTGTTAGAAGAAGCATCAGGAAAACCTTTCTTTTGAGCTATTTATAACTAACAGCAATTGACCAAGTATACTTTTGTGAGTGAAACTGACCTTTCTCCCTGTAAGAATTC